>NC_000010.11:52870368-53021883 GCF_000001405.40 Homo sapiens | reverse complement strand
TGAATTTTAAATCGTGTTAATAATTATTAAATTATAGAAATAAGTGTCTGAAAGTTTTCTGAGATATTAAAGCCCCCATGGTGTAATTGGTCTTGGTATTATTGCTTTATTTTATCCTGGGAATTCTGTGTTTGATGGGAATGTGGATTCAATTGAGCCAAATGTGTACTGTGTATGTAAGCATTTATGAATATTGATTGTATTTTGGAAAACTTTCTAGTTGATACTAAGTGAGTGAGAAATATCCCTATAGTGCCGTACACAATTCCCCTATAAATCTACCTCCCGTGCTAAACTGGGGCTAGCATATAATGTTGGACTTGTAGAGGAATGATTCTTAGAGCTTAGGTTTGGAATCATTTTTATCACAGAAGGATAATATTGAACCAGCACAAGTTGGTCTCGTTAAATACTTTCATAGAATTCCCATATTTCTTAGTTTTTGAGGACATTTCATGTATATGGAATTTATCACATTGTGTGAAGGCAATCCCATTGGAACATTTACATAAATCGATATATAAAGAGAGATTCACAGTTACAGAGTATAAATAATCAAGCTCCTTGAGTCTCACAGTTGTATTAAATACAACAATAATTTAAAATAAAATCAAGAACTGAAAAAATATATAATTATTTTAAGAATTTTGGTTTGAGCATATCAGTAAAAATTGCTGCAGTTTCTACTGATAGTGGTTTAATATTAAACCCAAAGTACCAGACAAAAAGACAAGGGTCTGAAATCTCTAGTCTACAAAACTACACCAATTTTGTATGCTTGCTATTTGGTTTTAGATGCACAATCAAATATCATTGACAAAAATCAAGTAAGAAGGAAGAGATCTGGAAATCAAATTAAATTTTCAGCATGGCCTGGGAGAATTTACCCAGCATTGGAATTCATAACATTTGGTTCCCCCTTCCAACATTAACTTGTTTTGGGACCTTGGGCATTAAATTGAATCTGTGACTCCATCTGTCAACTCTAGTTTAAACTATCTGTATCACATGGATGGTATGAAAATAAAATAAGAAAACTACAGGTGAACATATTCTGAAAATGTTAGTAGATTACTGTCTTAGTCTATTCCTGCTGCTACAATAAAATACTTAGACTGGGTTAGTTGTAAGCAACAGAAATTTATTTCTCACAGTTTTGGAGGCTGGGAGATTCAAGATCAAGGCGCCAGCAGTTTCAGTGTCTAGCGCAGATGTGCTCTCTGCTTCCAAAATAGTGCCTTCACAGGATGGAAGAGGGCAGAAGAAGCAAACAGTTTCCTTGGTATTCCTTTTATAAGGGTACTAATTCCATTCTTGAGTGCTTTTTGCTCATGACTTCACCTCTTAAAGGCCCTTCCTCTTAACACGAACACATTGGCAGTTAAGTTACATTTTGGGGGCATGCCAACATTTGGCCCATAGCAACTACCCAATCAGAAGTCAGTAGCAATAAAGGTACTGACCCTGCCTGGTCTGGCCTTTATTCACCCTTATAAATCCTATTTCATACCACATTGCTCCTTGACCTCTGGTTTTAGACACACATGCCTTCATTCTGCTTCTCAAATCATACGTCCTCCTGCCAATGACTTTTGCATATATTTTGATTATCATATGACAGATGATCATTTGATCATCATATTTTACTCGTATTTCTATACCTGAAACATACTTTATTTCTGAGTCTTAGCATCATGATCCAAACCCTAGCTCTCAATAGTCTTAATTTAGCTCTATTCTTCCTTCAGATATGAGCTCAGATTGTACTTTGAAGGGAAACTTTCCCTGCTCAACCACTGTCCACGGTTAGATCAAGCTCTATCTATCCTTTACCCTAATGACACCAATTCCTTTCCTTCAAACACCTGTCACAGTCTTAATATTTTATTCTTTTATGATTATCTTATTTATTCTGTCTGTCCTCATTGTTATTTTGAAAATCCATGTGGTCAAGGTTCCTGTCACTTTTTTGTTCAACATTGCATTACAAGTCCTTCATATGGCAACTCACACCTATTAAACCTAAAAAAAAAGACATTATTGAGTGAATCAATTGAATAAAATATCTTAGTTCATTTGTGCTGCTATAAAAATACCTGAGACTGGGTAATTTACAAATAATACAGCTTTGGAGGCTGGGAAGCACATGCTCAAGGTGTCAGCATTAGGTGTATGATGAAGACCTCACCAAGATGGCCGTGGGCACACTCTCTCAAGCCCTTTTATATGGGCTTTAATCCTTTCCATGAGTGCCCTACACTCATGATTTAATCACCTTCTAAAGAACCCACTTCTTAATACTATCATCATTGGCCATTAAATTTCAACAAATGAATTTTGAGGGACATATTTCAGGCCATAGCAGTACTGTATTAGGATTCTGAAAAACAGAAAACAGAACCATTAGGATAGAGAGATGATAGACGGATAGATAGATAGATAGATAGATAATAGATAAGAGATTTATTTGAAGGAAATGTCTCAAGTCATTTGGAAGGCAGGAAAGTCTGATGCTCATAGGACAGGCTGGAAATTCTAAAAAAAAAGTTGATGCTGCAGTCTTTAAGTTCATAGGTTGGAGACAAGCAGAATTTCTTTTTTTTTCTTTTTTTTTTTTTTTTTTTTTTTTTGAGACGGAGTCTCGCTCTGTCACCCAGGCTGGAGTACAGTGGCGCTATCTAGGCTCACTGCAAGCTCCCCTCCTGGGTTCACGCCATTCTCCTGCCTCAGCCTCCCGAGTAGCTGGGACTACAGGCGCCCACCACCGCGTCCGGCTAATTTTTTGCATTTTTAGTAGAGACGGGGTTTCACCGTGTTAGCCAGGATGGTCTCGATCTCCTGACCTCGTGATCCGCCCGCCTCGGCCTCCCAAAGTGCTGGGATTACAGGCGTGAGCCACCACGCCCGGCCGACAAGCAGAATTTCTATGTTGCGGTCTGGAGACAGAATTCCTTCTTATTCAGGGGAGCACAGCTTTTTCTCTAAAGGCCTTTAACTGATTAGCTAAGGTCCATCCACTTTATGAAAGTTAATCTGCTCTACATAATGTCTACTGATTTAAAAGTTAATCACATCTAAAAAGAAACACAAATTTCACAACAATATCTAGACTGGTGTTTAAAAAAGCAACTTGGCACCATACCCCAGCCAAGTTTACACACAAAATAAACCATCATAGGCAGGGACCCCCAAATGCTTCATTCTCTCACTTCCTTCAATTCTTGGCGAGTACTTTCCTGACCAGCTTATTTAAAATTGTAACCTGCACACCTCCATCCCACCTTTCTTCAAACTCTCCCTATTCTCATTTTCCATTTTACATGTTTTTTTCATAGAATTTATTGCTAGTGGACATAAAATATATTTAACTTATCCACTTATATATCTCCAATAAAATGTAAACTCTAAAAGGGCAAGAAATTTTGTCAGTTTTATTTACATAGAAATGTCCTTGACGTTTGATAGGTTCTTAATAAGTACTTGTTGAATAAAGTAATTGAATACTGCGTAAGATTTGATTACTGGAACCCCTACTTACTAGTTGCACAAATTTGTGAAGTCACTTAATATTCTCAGGTTTTGCTTTATTCATGTGGAAAAGAGTTATTGAAATATATCATTTGACTGTACTCTAAGTATAGTTCCTGATCCAATAGTATTAATGCTAGAATTACCATTATTTGATAGCAGACATAAATTCAGAGACCTGTGACACTGCTTTGAATTCCTTTTCATTTGACTATCCCCAAATTGGCTCTGCCCCAGTCCAGATAAGGGAAAAAAATAGACCTTGATACCACTGATTGTCAGTTGATAGATAATCAAGAGTTAATTGAAAATAAATAGGTTTTGGCTTTTCTTTTTATTGGAATTGTTTAGATATGTTATTCTTATAGTGTACAAAAGTCTGTCTAAAAAGGTGGTGGTATGCTTACTGAACACTGAAATTATAATTTTAGCTTCAAGAGGATAAGAGAAGACACAGAGGCAGTATTACAGAGCTGTTATAAATCCAGACCTGAATTTAGATTTTCTAGACTCAAATTTTAGTTTCACTGCTTACCAGCTATGTGATTTAAGTACCTTAAGTAAACTCTAAACCTTGGTTTCCTCAAATGTAAAATGGAATGATAAATGCATCTACCTCATAGGATCGCTATATATTTTAGGACAGATGATGTTTGGAAAGTACTTAGCACAACATTTAGCTCAAAATAGTTACGAAAAACGTTTTTCTTCTTGTCATTGCTGACATTACTCTGTCAAATGATCATCTTCAAAACTGAGGAAAAAGTAAGGACATAAATTCAGTTACTCTGAGGGTTTTTACTACAGTAACATTCTTACCTTAAGGAACACTCTATATTGCCTTCCCCCTATAAAATATCGCTGGTATAAAATTAAACAACCTATTTATTAATATTACATTATCCATGTGCCAAATCCTGTGTTCTGCGCATTAGTGTATGTTTTGAAGGTGGGTGTACCATGCAAAAATATTTATGACATAGTCACTTAATGTAAGAAGTTCCTATGAAAATTTATTATGTAAGATAAGATATGATCATGGGATATGAGAAATATATTTCAGGCATAGTTAGTAGAACTGGATCAGTTACAGAAACTTCTTTGAACAGATAAACTGGGTTGGTTTTACAGAAAAATTTTCAGTCAACAAATACAGAGATTTAGTTCAAGCACCCCACAGTGAAATTAAAATTATTTGACAATATAAATTTTAAAGGCTGCAGCTGTCAAATTTCACAGAAGCAATTATTCTATCTGCTATCTTGAAAGTGATCTAACTCACATATTGATACTCCATTGACATGACCACAGACCATGGCCTCCCCAGGGATTCTATCAAGCACCAGCAATGGTCCCGGCATTAGCCAGTAAGCAAAAAACTAACAACTAACCATGAGTTGATGTTTGGAATTAGTTTTATTTGGAGGTGAGAATTTATCTCTTTTTTGTTTCTTGTCTCAGAAATAGTGCACTTAATCTCAACTTTCCTGGTTAACCATGCACAAAGTTGACAGATTTATTATTCTATCTATGTGTTTTGCTTTCATTTGTGTTATATAATTTATTTTCTGTTTAAATAAAAGTCACCTTCAGAATTTAGAAGATCAAGTATTAAATTATAAGCTTTCATATCAAAACTCTAAGAAAAATATTTTAATTTCTTTACTTATCTTTATTAAATAGCTTAATCCTTCAAGCAACAATAAATTTTTATAGTGTCCTTAGAAAGATGATTAATAATATCTGTTAAAATTTTTAAAATTACATCATCATTAAAGCAACAATGTCATTACTGAGGCATTGTCTCATATTTAGAATGTATGCACAGGATATTATTTATTAAGACTATTATCACTAAAATAAGTAAAATTACAAAAAGTAAAAAAAGAAATTAAATACCCATCACTAAGTGAATTAGAGAATAAATTAATAAATATATATCCGTATCAAAAATGACTTTGCAGTAGCCATGTAGAAGAGGAAGTGGACCTCTATTCCCAGCAATTTGATGAACTACACTGATGTTAAAAATCTTTTTCTAACAACTCCAATGATAGATGGCAATAGATGCTGAATTAAAAAGTCTCTTTCTTTTTAAAAAATGTTATAGCTTAAAATGAAAGAAACAAAAACAAAAATTCAAGTACCAAAACAATGAATATGATGAAAGCCAAAGCAATAGGTGCATAAGCTGATGTTTCTGCAGCCATGAAAGAGTTTCAGACTCAGTAATGTTGAGAAGGTTAGCTTTCAACCTTCAATTCCTCCGGGAATAGGAGATTAAGGCTCAGATACACAGGAAGTATGGAGTTACAACTTAAGTCTCTGAAAAAATCAAGACTGCTGGAATGGATATAATTCTGGATAAAGAATAAATCAATAATTTGATATATGAACCCAAAAGAGTATACAATAAATCTAATGTTTCTCCTCAATCTGAGTAGAAAGAAATTATCCCATGGACAAGTGAAATCATACCCCACAGAGTTTAGAGTCCAAATGTACTCTACCCAGCTGTCGTAAAGAAATCCCAAGTCAAAAACCATTATTAAAAACTTGTTCCAAACAAGTGATGCCCCCAGACAAAATCAAAATAGAAATTGTTCTAGCATGATACTTCAAAAACAGACATCATATAGAATCCTATAAGAAAAAAAAATGTGTGCTTCAAAATAAGCTCACAGAAAATTTTTTTTAAATATGTAATGAAACACAACACCATCGGTAGAAGTAGAAAATGCAACAAAGAAAAGGATTAGGACACTCAAAAAATGAAATAGAATAATTTGCATTAGACTAATAAACAATTATGTGCAAGATTATTGGCTACATACTTTCAAAGTATAGAATCCACAAGAAAGAAAAAAAAGACATTAGACAAAAGCTAATGGGGCCGGGCGCAGTGACTCACTCCTGTAATACCAGTACTTTGGGAGGCTGAGGCGAATGGATTACCTGAGGTTAGGAGTTAAAGAGTAGCCTAGGCAACATGGCAAAACCCCATCTCTACTAAAATACAAAAATTAGCCTGACATGGTGGTGTATGCCTGTAGTCCCAGCTACTCGGGTGGTTGAGGCAGGAGAATCGCTTGAACCAGAGAGGCGGATGTTGCAGTGAGCAGATATTGGGCCACTGCACTGCAGCCTGGGTGACAGAGTGAGACTTCGTTTCAGGGGAAAAAAAAGACAAAAGCTAATGAGCCTGCTACAAATACTTTATTTTATTTATTTATTTTTGAGATGGGGTCTCACTCTGTTGCTCACTCTGTCACTGCAGCCTCGATTGCCCAAGCTCCACCATGCCTGGCTAAGTTTTTTATTAATTGTACAAACAAGGTATCACTATGGTGCCAAGTCTAATCTCAAACTCTTGGGCTCAAGTGATCCTCCTGTCTTGGTCTCCCAAAGTGCTGGGATTACAGGCATGGGCCACCACACATAGCATGTTATACATATTTTAAAAGAATGGGTTAGAGCTGCACTAGGAACCTGAAGGTAACCAAAAAAAAAAAAAAAAGGAAGAAAAGAAAAAGAAAGAAAAAAAACAGTTAATTTTTTTTTTAAGAAAAAAAGCATTAAATGACCAATGGGGATTCTTGCTCTTCACACTTCTACACTGCTTAAACTTTATTTATTCTGGAATTCTCATATAATGTAAGTTGCACAAGTATAAATTTTTTATACAATAATATAAATTACACATAAATACTTAACTAAGAGGTACATATTATAATATTTTGGGTCCAACCATATAGCTCCCTTTAAAAAAAAATACACACCGACATACATACCGACACACACACACATATACATACAGACACACACACACACCCCCATTAGCTGCAGATATACCTACAACCCAATGAATACAAAAACGCTGATTTCTAAAAAGAGGCAGTGTATTCAAGTCATACTCTTGTCATTGTCTTTTTTTGTTTCTATTTCTTAGTTCAGATTTCCTCCTTAGCACTTGTAACTATCAAGGATGAATAAGGGGTCACATGATTCATTTCATTAAAGATGCAATTAGATGTTTTGCTTTCTTATTGTGAGACTGATTACTCTGACTTTCAGGCAGTTGAGGGTGTCTTTATTTGGATTTAAAGCTAGCGTTAGACCTTTAATGAAGCTGTTAACGAACCTACAGTCAATCTTCTAATTTTATGGAAGACAATATTCTTCCACAGACATGAGTAGGAGCCATTCTTTTTTAACAGGGTGCTCTTGCAAAAATTACGTGAGAGTCTCTGGAATCACACCCTGCTACTACTAGTATTAGCATCTATTTATTCGATCATTTTATCGATGCATGAGTCTGGCTCAGCCTTCTAAAGCTTTTGCGGAGTGAAGAGCTAGTTTGATCAAAGCACTATTTGTTGTGAAAGGTTCTTCAAACTTATTTTCACTAATAAATAATCATTTTTCAGGAACAAGTTTGCCAAAGCATAGTTGCAGAAGTTACAGACCTTGGTCTTTAAGAAGACCAAATGCACACTAGGCATTCCTCCTATAAATGCAAATTTTTTCTGCAGCTTTGAACTGTTATTTCCTTAGATTTTAGTAACTTCAGTGTTATTCTGTCTATATGGATGCCAAGTCTATATTTCTTCTTTTGTTTTAAATCTTTCAGGCAACATCCTTTCTCATAATCATTACCTCCATTTACATTTATATCTACTCGAAAAATGCAATACAATGTTAAGCAAAGTGAAATAGAGATTACTCAGCCCTGTGGGGAAAGAAGCAATCAGTATTTCTGTCTGGAGAGACAAAAAAAGGAGGTTATATAAGTTATGTAATTTAACTTAATGAGGCCACCAGACAGAAACTACAAATAATATTTCAAAAACCACAGGCATAATTATTAAAAGATATGGCTATTTTAGCATCTGGAAAGAGAAGCAGAACATTGTTAATTATAAACACTTTCTCTGGGACAATAATAAGGTTTCTGCTATGGGTGGCTTCAATTAGATTTGGGGAAAAAAATCTGTACTTCCCTTTTAAGAGATGAGTCACGCAACTGAAACTTCTCTATTTCTTTTCTTTTCTGATTGTTCTCCAGAATTAGGACTAGTAACAGTCCTTAAATCTTGTATTTCCTTATCTAGAAAACTCAGTATCTTCCCTTCCGTTTGTCTTAAAATATTAGTACTGCTCTTCCTTATTGGCAGGTGGGCTTTATGGAATTTGTTTGTTATAAAAAGCTATGCACCAGGATGGATGATTTTTTAAAAATGGTCTCCCATAAGGTTACTGCAGCGCTTGAAGGAACATGGCTTAGCCAGCAGTTACCTTTGCGCAATGCAGATATTCTTTATTAGTACTTGACTGCCTTGTTAAGATTTATTCAGTTTCACTATTTATTAATTGTGCTTATGATTGACATGGTGAGTGTATTGGTTTTCTGTTGCTTTACAACTAAACACCACAAAATTAGAAGCTTTAAAACACACACACATATTACCCAAGTTCCTGTAGATCAGAAGTCTAGAGACTTCTTATCTGGATCTTCTACAAAGAGTCTTACAGGCTGAGAGCCAGGGCTGCATTTTCATCTGAGGCTTGGGGTCATCTCTAAGCTCACATGGCTTAATTCACTTCCTTGGAGTCATAGAATGAAGGCCCTCACTATTTAAAAGACAAGAGGGAGAAATAATCAAACAGGCCCAAATGAAAACTCTAGAAATGACAAAATAACTAAATTAGATATACAATGAATGAGATTACCAGCAGACGAAAATAAAATAAAAAGAAAAATATTAAACTGAAAAGTAAGTCAAAATAAAATACAGAGATTGAAGAGAAAGAGATGTCTAAAAAAGATGAAATAAAGTAAAAAACAAAATGGACTTAGTGGCATGGAAAAATGGCCTATCATATTGGAAGGAATGAAGACAAAGGGATTGGGCATAATTGCTAACCACTTTCAAAAACTGTTGAAAGATACTAGTTACAAAGTTAGTAAGAAGATAACTTTTAAAAGATATCAACTAAATATATTAACTATAGATCCAAGAAGCATTATAGGACAGGCGCGGTGGCTCGTGCCTGTAATCCCAGCACTCTGGGAGGCCAAAGCGGGTGGATCACCTGAGGTGAGGAGTTTGAGACCAGCCAGGCCAACACAGTGAAACCCCATCTCTACTAAAAATACAAAAATTAGCCAGGCATGGTGGCACATGCCTGTAGTACCAGCTAATCGGGAGGCTGAAGTAAGAGAATTGCTTGAACCCGGGAGGCGGAAGTTGCAGTGAGTTGAGATTGCACCACTGCACTCCAGCCTACGCAGCAACAGAGCAAGACTCCATCTCATAACAAAACAAAAACAAAAACAAAAAAAGAAACACCTTGCACAAGATACATATAAAATCATAAGAACCATAAATATTCTAGAAAATTAATATGAAAGACAAAAAAATTAAGTGAAACCAAAGTAAAACATAAACATATATTACTTCACAAATAGCAGAATAGCAGCACACAAACTGCTGACTTCTCAACAGAAATCACTGTAGCTGGAAGACTATAGAATGATGTCTGTGAACCACTGAATGGGGATAACTGTATTATAAAAATTTTACATCAAAATTGAGAGAGGTGATATTGAAAGACCCAAGTTAAGAAAAATACTAAATACTAAATAGTACTCTTCAGGGAAATGTAGAGGTATAACACAGGTTATATTGATTAATCTGAATTAGTCTAAGTAAATATTGGCTGTAAAACGACAATAATAATATTTTGGGGTTTTAAGTATATAGCTTTGTAAAATAACTTTTAAAGAGAAAGGGTTAACAATTAATAAGGTATTCCACAGGCCTTGAATTTTCCAAAAAAATTGTAATTTTAGAAACATAACAAATCTTAAGAATATGCATTATAATCTCTAGAGTGACCAATAAACTAAAAAGGGGAGTCTACATTAATGGTGAAAGACAAAATTGTTTCCTCAGATCAAGAACAAGGCAAGGATGCTCATTCTCAGCATTCCCATTTAATGATGTTCTCGATTTAACAATCATCAATGATGTGATACTCAACATGAAATGAATAAATAATAACCTGTTGTTGTGTCCATGAGAAAGGTAGTCTCATAAGAGAGAATCTTAATTCAGATGATTAATAAATTCCTAAATTTAGAAACGCGACTTCTTTAAATTGAACCAAATGATGAATGCCCCAATAGGATCTTTTCACTGTTTGTGGGCAGACACTGTGGTATATACTTCTCATCCATCATCTCACTGAGTAGTAATAACTTCAAGTATTTTAAGATGATAATAGTAGATGTTTAAAGAGGTTAGAGAATTTTTCCAAGGCTACAACAGTTAATAAGTCAAATAATTCAGATTCAAGGTAGTCAGTGTCATTTTTAATTCTGAATCTTTAACCACTATCATTTTCCTGAATCTACTGTCCTTTATTATCACTAGCAAATTGGTTCAACTCAGTTTGCACATTTTTAAATTTGGAAAGTATACCTTCTCTAAAAGTGGTGAGAAATAAAAGAGAGTTAAATCTAAATTCAACTGTATTTCATCAGTTTAAATGACCTTACACATACTGTTCATTCTCACAACCAAGTGCCTCCTTTAAATGCCAAGAATATGCCTACCAGTGAATCTAAACTTGAAGGATTTATCTTAAATACATAAAATTAGAAGAGTAAATAGTTCATAATATTCCTAGGGGTGGTTAGAATTCAGAGAAAACTATTCTCTCTAGCTTGTACAATATTGACTTGGCTCTCTCTTCCTCCGCCCATTCTTTCAATGTCTAGGACTGTTTAACTGAAACATTTGCTGGCTTCTCCATCACGCCTCACAAAAGATAAATATGGGCTAACATTTGTCTCTGAAGTTGTTTTAGCTAATCGCCTCAACAGGAAGAGAATTTCAAAGAGATTCTGCCAGATTTCCTATGCATGGAAGCATAACCAGATGAAAACAAAATCCCTCATTAATCTGTGTGCATTGCTTTAAAAATATGCCACCTACTGTGCACAGAAAATAACCTGGCAACTCTAGACCAATTAGTAGGGCCAATTACTTGTGATTTGGGATGTAAATAATTTCACAAAGTTCCATCAATGAACACTGTAATCCTTTGACTTTGTCAAGAAGCACAAAATACTGTTGAGCCAACATAAACATATGTTTGTTTTTCACATACAGTGAGCACTAAGAGGGTCAAATGAACAGAATTATCTTCCCTTTTTTTAAATTTCTTAGTCCTTCAGAAGTGGCCATATGTGTTGGCACTGCTTCTTGGCCAGCCAAAATGCACGTTCCCCAGATATTTTATTTTTTCTATTTTATCTCAAAATTTGTCCTACACTGCCAATCCTTTGGATATGAAGCTCTGGCTATGACTTTGAGGAAAATTTTCCCAGCTGTTCACATAGGTTTCTTATTAAATCTCTCTGCTAATATAAACTACAGCTTAGATTTCATATTTTTTTAAAAAATTAAAAGCTAATTTATGTTGTACATTTCTGAATCCCAGTACCACCAATACCTTCAATAATTGTAGAGAATGCATCCTGCTTGATATTTTTTTCTACTTTCATATATCCATTCAGGACCTGGCACAGTATCAGTATCATTCAATAAATATTTGTTGAATGAATGAATTAATGAATGAAGAGTATATTAGGGTTGACGTCAGTCTGCTAGCAAATGGACACTAAAATACAGAAAACCTTTTTTTGAGGAAAAAAATTGTTGTTAACAATTTAAATCTAGTAGAGTCATGTTTTTCATTAGAATAGACAGAAAACTAAAAGAGTGAGTTGTGTTTGTGTTGAGAGAAACTATACAGAAAATACATAATCATTCAATTTGCTGATGATTATTTAAAATTAGCCAGTTTGTGGTCATTAAGCTGCTTTGAATATATTATCTTCAATTTAGAAGGAAATTTAAACATAATGAGTATGATCCACCCATTTTAGGGTTCAGAATTTTAATTGGAAATTTAATTGAAGGTTTGCAATTTAAAATTTTGTCTTCTGAAGGAGCTTGGGGAAGTTCACACCAAAATATGGCTCCCAGGTATAATGAGTATTTTGAATTAAAGGCCCTTAAAAATCAATAGACACTGGAAGAGGATTTTCCCCTATCTACATAAAGATCAGATCCTTCCCCCTCCACCCTTCGAGGATAACAATTGCTTTTTCTTCTCTGATATGGTTTGGATTTGTGTCCCTGCCCAAATCTCACATCATATTGGAGGAGGGGCCTGGCAGGAGTTGATTGGATCATGGTGGTGGGTTTCCCCGTTGCTGTTCTCATGATAGTGAGTAAGTTCTCATGAGATCTGATGGCCTAAAAGTGTGTGGCACTTCCCCCTTCACTCTCTCTCCTGCTGCCATGTGAAGAAGGTGTTTGCTTCCCCTTCACCTTCCGCCATGATTGTAAGTTTCCTGAGGCTTCCCAGTCATGCTTCCTGTTAAACCTGTGGAACTGTGAGTCAGTTAAATCTCTTTTCTTCATAAATTACCCATTCTCAGGTAGTTCTTTATAGCAGTGTAAGAACAGATTAATACACCCTCCCTGTTATCTCATTATCTGTTGGAGAAAAGAAAACCAAGAATGTAACCATACCTCAATAGACTCTCACAAGATAATATCTGTCTGTTAGTCTCATTCAATTTCCAAAGAGAAGTATTTACAGATTAATCTCTGTTCCTTGTTTCATACATTCTCCCTAGTAATAATTTATGGCCCCTCAAGAAAATTACATATATTCCCCACCCCCTCTGAAATAAGGCTATATATAAGTATCTGGGCCCCACTGGAGGGTTGGGGCAATCATTTTATTGTTCTCCCCCATGTGCACATTAATACATCTGTATGCCTTTTCTCCAATTAATCTGCCATTTGTCAGTTGATTTTTCAGTGAACCTTCAGAGAGCAAAGGAGAAGTTTTCCTTTGACCCCTACACTTCCATAGAACACTACTTTAAAAACTTACCCTTTAAAAGCTCTCAGATTTATAGTGCAGAACCCTATCTCTACTAAAAATACAAAAAATTAGCCGGGCACGGTGGCAGGTACCTGTAGTCCCAGTTACTCAGGAGGCTGAGGCAGGAGAATGGCGTGAACCCGGGAGGCAGAGCTTGCAGTGACCCGAGATAGCGCCACTGCAGTCCGTCCTGGGGGAAAGAGCGAGACTCCGTCTCAAAAAAAAAAACAAGTATATATACTATACAGTATATAGTATAGTATAAATGCAAGAAGAACTTAGTATAAATTGAGAGACTTTATTGTAAAATACTGACAAAGATTTTTGCAGTTGGCAAAATCATCAAAGTGAAATATATCTAATGTCCTTACTCATAACAGCAGATTAAAAACAAATCTATTTAATTCATTTAGCTCTAGGTGATGCCAACTACTAGATTTATTTATTCTATTAATAAAAATCAAAATCATTGGTTTTAAACTGACTTCTTAAGAGCACCAATTACAAAAGTCTTACAGTATTTCTATGCTTCTAATTGTTTCTTCTTGTGACTACCAGCAAGGTACTGAGTAATACAGAATGACAGATTTTTCTTTATTTCACTCATGTAAACAACATCTGAACTATAAATAGTCTATAATAGCATATTATGTATGCAAGTTTGAAGCACGTAACTTCATATAACTGAGCATTAAATGTAAATGGCTACAAAGGCTAGCTCTCTCATCTCTAGCTCTGTAAATTACAACTTGTTGTCAGTGGCCAGAAAAAAATGGTCTCACTTCCTCTGATATTCTAGGGAAATAATCCACCCTGCCAAGGACCTAGGTTTTAAATTTCATGACCTACATAAAAGGCAAAGCTTTTTAAAAGTTTGTTTTCTATATGGTAATTTCTGTATATCACAAAGTCAGGGACTAGTTTCCTCTTCATTTGTGTCTACAAAACATACAGAGTAGTATGCTCTATAAGATAGTGGTTTCCAAATATTTTGTATAAAACATATTTCTTCTGTCTGGATGTATTGTTTTTCAATGATAACAATCTTAGACAGAAAAGGAAAACATGTCCTTCAAATGACTGAAGAGTGTGAAAATAAGTAATTAAAAATTAAAGCTGTTGGAACTTCAAATTATTTTGAGCCTTAAGGGAATGTAAATATGGGTCCTGAGTCATGTGATAGGCAGCTGTAACCTTTGTTCCTCTGATTATAGATCAGCCTTTTGTTTATCTACACTGTTTTGTAAAATGTTATAAGACTAAAGGGCACCAGGGAAGGCCCTTTCCCTCTTAAGCGTTGATCTTCATTATAGATTAACTTTCCCCTTCTCTTACACAAAAACCTCACAACTATCATATTGTCTAAGATGGAATGTTAAATAGACTCTTTAAATTGAACCAAAAAAAGATGTTTAAAAAAAAAAACCCAGCTTTAACCAGCCAAATTGCTGTAACTCATAAACCAGCCTTCTATGGAAAATGTTATAATCTTATTAAATTTTTTTTTTGTTTTCTGCCTATGTAAGCAAAAGCTTAACTTTTCAGGTTTGAAGCACTGACTCCATTCCTTTGGAGTCTGTGTTTCCCATATGGCTATCCTAACTTTGCAATTTAATAAATTCTTTTATATTTGATTCTGATCCTTTCAATTATTTCACTTTGACAAGAGGAATCCATATCCTTTACCAAAGAGCAGTAGATGAACAGGACTTATCATCCTTTCTTCTCCAGTGTTGCTTTTTACCAGATTTGCATAGTGTCAAGATTATTTTCCTCTAATTGGATGCACTGTCAAATCCTGAGTCTTTGATTGGATAGAGGGGAAGTGTAGTGAAAGCCCTGGTAAGCTCCAACATGTTAATATTTTAAAATAAAACAATTAATGTTCTTATTAGGCAGATATTGTTACAATAAATATTTCTATAGTATCTGAAACTACCACTAAGAATAATGTAGTTAAGATTTTTTGGTCGCAAATTAGAGGTATCCATTTTGACGCAGCTTTAATAATGAATTTAAGGAGCTAAGGTACTTGAGAAAACTCAAGAAGACAAACAAGAGTGAGCCATAGCAACAAGCTAGAAACTAGAGCTCAGAACACCATCATAACTATTTTGCTGTCTTCTGTATATGCCCAACTCTAAACCTGCTTAGGTCCTCATCTGTTTGTCTGTGTATCTAACCCAAGACAAGTTATTATTTCTCTTAAAAAAAATGTAACTCCTTGTCCTGGCAGTGGACCGTGAAACTCAAAAAGGACACATGACCTAAACTGTGTCAGTCCAGTTCCTTACTCCAAAATTTGAGAAGTGGGACTGAGAAAGAGAGAACAATATGCTTTAGGGCTACCAGATTAAACAAACAAAAATACAGGGTGCTCAGTTACACTTGAATTTCAGATAAACAGCAACTGTCAGCACCTATTTGCACTAAAACATTATTCATTGCTCAGAGGAAATAAAAATGTAACTGAGAATCCTCTATTTTATCTGGTAAACTTGGCACCTTTTGATGATCTTATAACATGTAAAAAGGGATTGTCAGTGACAATTCTATACAAAAGATACTGTGGTTTTCATCTTCACGTGACTTCTTTGTAGAAAAAAAGGTGGAAACTAAGACTTCTGACTTGAAGCACTCCACCTTAAAAAAAAATCAGTTAAACATAAGAAAGATTCGTTTAAAACAGTGAATGGCTGTTTTAACTTTGGTGACCTACTACACATCTAAATTTTTAAAAGAACAAAAAGATAGAGTATGCTGTAATTTCTATAGCTCTTTCCTCTTTCCAGCTCTATAGGAAAGAAAAGAAAAGGAAAAAAAAAAAGAAGCCACTTGAAAAAAATATTAAAGAAATTTATTTTGAAAGCTCATTCCCTAATCATAGGTCAGAAAATCAGGATGGTGACATTTATGAAAGGACAACTAGCTTAGCCTGGTTGGATAAATGCAAGAAGAACTTAATATAAACTGAAACTTTATTGTAAAGTACTGAAAAAGATTGTTTGCTTAGTCATGCTCCTACACCTTCTTGTAGGCCCATCTGTGCACTGCCTTAAAAAATACAGTTTTAGCAAGAACTCTGTTAAATCAGTTTAACATGAACCCCTCACCCCACCCTTGATATCTGATCACTCTCACTATATGATCAGTTTCCTCATCCTCCATCATCCCCCAGATGTCTGATCTCCCAGGTCAGCCTTCAGCAACAATCTTGTTAGGTCAGTTTAGCCAAAATATCCTGTGACAGTTGATGATCTGAATTGGGTCATTCTTTTCACACCCAACTAAATGAGAGTTGAGCGGCCAGGTGGAAAAAAGCACTCAGAGTACATAACATTGCTCTAGAAATGTAATTCTCTGCACATATGATGGCTGAAATTGCCTGTGTTGACCTGAAACCAATTTTATCTATAGCTGCTGAGATAATTTGCTGAAACTCTAGGACTAATTTTGCTCACCACCACTGCCTACCAATTAGAGCTTGCCACCCCCGACCCCCAAAGCTTTACTAATACCAATGAACTTTCTCTCGGGACCACACGTAACATTACTCCTTTTTTATAAAACCCCCAACTTTCTCTTTGCTCTTCAGATATACCAAAGAGTTTCCAGTCTGTATCTGTGGCTCAAACTGCAATTCTTTCATGTCAAATAAAATACTAGAGATTCATCTCTACACTCTTATTTTGACTTCCACATGCCTACCCCTTGATGTTTCCTCTTTACAATTTCTTATCTTCTGACCTGTGGATCTACCCTGTTTCTTGGCTATAAATTCCTACTTGGCCATACTGTATTAGGAATTGAACCCAATCTCTTTCTCCCACTGAAAAATTCTATTGCAATGGTCCTTTTACCTATTGCAATCATCCTGAATAATGCCTGTCTTACTATGTGTAACAAATGTCATTCAATATTTTTTTCTTTAACAATATCAATATGAAAGTTTAACTGGCTTTGGAAATGAATGCTAATTCTAATGGGTAAATTTATATCTACTCATATGACAAACATTTATTCAGCAGAAACATAAAAAAAACCTAACAGGAATAAAATTGGTCTCACTAGGAGTTTGAGTTACTGGCCTTTATCCTCAGTACCTTTCAAAAAGTCCAGTAAATATACATTAGCTAAAAGCAAATGTCCTCTGATTATCCAGTGTTAATAAAAGAAAAACTGAAGGTTAAAATAATGTCTACAGGCTTTTGCTTACCAAGTTCCAAGTTTACTCATTAAAAGTATCATTGAGATAATCTGTATAAAAATATCCAGTATTCCCATTTCAGAAATTATTGCTTTTTTATATTAAATATTGCTATTATTTATAATCTAAGTTTTGCTTAATTAATAACTTAAAAGATTTAAACATACACAAAACACTTGCCTAAAATTCATTAATATGTTAGGGCATAGTATTGCTGCTTTCAGAAAATTCCTCAAGAAAAATATTACTTAAGTAAGCACAGAATTTAAAAAGAAATATTAAGGCATTATGAATATTCACAGAGCTAATGAGGTTTAGAAAAATGGGACATTTTGCTTACCAAACTAAAATTTTATTTTAAAAACAAATGCAAATTAATCTTTTAGCCCTAGAAAAGCAGTTAAGAACAATCTGGAAAATAATGGACCTGTAAAATCCGTCTTGTTGCCTCCAAAAAATAATGATGTAGAATCAAAGTTTAATTTTGAAGCAATTAAAAACATAAGAAGGGTTTTCAGTGACTGGCAAGTTAGTTACCCCAATTAATTTAAATACCTTTCTACTGAAACATTAATCTAGGGTTCTAGTCTAAGTATTTACATGGATATAGAATCAAGAACCTTAGATTTAATTTCATAGTGCCTGAAAAAGAATTGTTATGTCCTTGTCTCAGTGGGTAATCTTGCATAATTCACTTACGTCCTCAGTTTCTTCACCTGTTTTATGGAATGATGACACATAGCCAATTCACTCATGCTATTTGGTGCAAATAAATGATCTGTAGGTTATTCAGATCCTCCTATGTGTCTCATATGAATCAGCATGTTACAGTCTCTCTGTTGGTGTTGGCCATGCTCTCCACATTCTATTTCTCTTACCCCTGTGGGCTCACAACTTGACTACATTTATCGGTATTCTCTGTATGAGAACTTTCAAAAATGATAAATGTCACTCTCAGGCCTTGCTTTTCAAAACCTGCACAGTCATTCGTGATCTCTCTCCCTTCCTCTTTGCAGCGTCAAATGCTGAGAACCCAGTGGAGGAGTCCAAGACCTTAGGGGATTGTGGAGCCGCTTGTCCAACACACAGCCCATGGGCCACATGTGGCTCAGGATTGCTTTGAATGCAGCCCAACACAAATTCACAAACTTTCTTAAAACATTATGAGTTTTTTTGTGATTTTTTTTTTTAGTAGCTCATAAGCTATGGTTAGTGGTAGTGTATTTTATGTGTGTGTCCCAAGACAATTCTTCTTCCAGTGTGGCACAGGGAAGCCAAAAGATTGTACACCCATGAATTAGAAAGAACAAGCATCAGGAACTGATTAAATCATTATACAACATAGGTATGCATTAAAACACAGCATAAAATTTTTTGTGTACCATAAATATATACAATTGCAATGCATCAATTAAAATGAATAAATAAAAATACATAGGTGGCTGGATGCTGTGACTTATGCCTGTAATGCTAGCACTTTGGGAGTCCGAGGTGGGCAGATTACTTGAGCCCAGGAGTTCGAGATCATCCTTGGCAACAAGGCAAAACGCTATCTCTACAAAAAATATAAAAAATTAGCTGGGCATGGTGCCATGTACCTGTAGTCCCAGCTACCTGTGAGGCTGAGTTGGAAGAATCACCTGAGCCCAGGAAGTCGAGGCTGTGGTGAGCCATGATGGCACCACTGCACTCCAGCCTGAGAGACAGAGTAAGACCCTGTCCACCTCCCCCATAGCCCCCCAAAAGTAGGCAAATAATTATTCTCAGATTCAGATGGTTTTCAGATAAATGTGTGTAACAGACCTTACTACCATAAATGGAAAGATGGTTACACACATAAACTCAACTGCCATAGAGTCATTATCTTTGTCGTATGCTGATTTCTTATACAATAGTGTGATATGATACAATGAAATAACAATGATAGCTAAAATTTATTGAATATAGATTGTTCACCAAGCACTGTTTCAAGTACAACATGTAATTTATCTCAATTTATACAACAAATCTTATGAGGAAAACATAATTATTCCTATTTTGCTGACAGGAAATTGAAGCTCAAGGACATTAAATAACTTGCCCATATTCATGAAACAGAAAGTTTTGAACTAGGACTAACTGTCAAGTCCATGGCATTCACTAAACTACAGCATGAAGAAGCAACCTGGAATGACAGCCAGGACACCAGGAATCCAAACTCAGCCCTAACTCTAATATTAACAATATGATCCCGAGCAGAGATTATTTTGCTTATCTGGGCCTCAAATTTCTCCTGTCTCTTCCAGCGTTAATTTTTTGTTATTCTTATCCAGGATCAAAAAGCTTAGAATTGCTTGGAGACTAATGACCTTCTGCATCAGATTTGCTGGTGTTTATGTGTTTATCTCCTGAAATAGAGGACATTTCTTAAAATTCTGATTAAAAATCTAAAAAACATAGCTGTGACATTAAGATGAAAAGTTTGAAGCAGGTGTCAATCTGTGTTTGGATTTTTTTCTATTCAGAATACCATTACGATGTGCTCCCCATATATACATAAAACCTAATTAGAGAAATAACTTTGTAAGTAGTGTTGCAGAACATCCTGTATATACACATGACATGCTGTATAATTAATGATGTTTTCCTGTATCCTATGTTGACTTTGTCAGAATGCTTTAAATGCCCTCTATTCGGCCCTTATGTTAAATTTTTTAAAAAGTCAGCAGTTAGAGATATTTTTAGACCATAGTAATTAGAGTTTAAATTACTTAAAAGATGGCAACACTAGGTGAATATCATAATACTGAAAATAAAAATTTGAACAATTCCTTATGATCTCTCCTGCAAGCTTGGCATGGAAAAACCAAAATGAAGGGATGAGAATTAAATGTACTATTTTTTCATATTTAAGAAAGAAAAAGACTATTCTTTTGGCTAAAATCCCAGGTTCTGAACAAGAAAACATCTTTAGAGATAACCTCAGATTAGTAAACCTGCTCTGAAAATCAGCCAATCAGCGGCAGCCTCAGAATAGTAACTATAGTTTGGAAAGTTAGCAAATCAGTTACAGTCCCAAACTTCAGAAAGTCAGCCAATGAGTAATTCGCTCCTGCGACCGCGTTACTGAAAGTCAGCCATCAAGAGTGGCCTTTCCCCCAAGACTTTACTAACACAGCTGCAAGTCTGTCAATCCCTAAACACTTCTGCTCCTGAAAATCCGAGAATTCCAGAACACTGACCTTCCCCAAACCTCACATAAAATCAACAAAGCTGTGCCTTCGAAGAACAGGTCTCTCTTGCAGGCAAATGGGAAGTTCGTTTTTTACATCAGGTGTGAATTCTATTCATTCATTCACATATTCCCAGTCTTTCGACAGTTCAACCCCTGTTTACATTTATTTATGAGTTCAGACTTGTGAGTGACAGACTTGCCCATACACTGTGAGATGAGCAAATTTCATTCCTCATTTCTTCTGAAAATTACTGTTAGCTTTTTTAAAATTGTATATATTTGAAGGTGCCTCTATAGTGTAATAGATAGCACATTGGACTCCTAAAGTTGTGCATATTTGAACCCCCAATGCCAAAAAAAAAAAAAGTGTAAATGTTTGGACAAATAACCTAAGAGGTGGTAATTTATTAAACAAGGAAAAATTATTTTGAAGCAATTTGTACAATATGCAATTGTTCATTTAATATCATTCACTATCAAAAATGGTAGAAAGTAAGATATAAACCAGCATATACTAACAGCTAGGCATACGAGATGTCTGATTTATTCAACTAGTACCAAAAAGTCATAAATTATCACCTTTTGACAAACATCTCCTGATTTCCTCATTCCTCATCTCCTAGCAAACACCATTTTACTCTGCTTCAATGAGTTATTTTCATATGTTGGCTATTATGAGCGATGCTTCAGTGAGTATGGAGGAAGGGTACAGATATCTATTTGAGATGCTGATTTCATTTCCTTTGGATATTTACCCAGAAGTGGGGTTGCTAGATCCTGTGGGACTTCTGTTTTTTAAATTTTTTTAGGAACCTCTCATACTTTTTTTTAATAATGTCTGTACTAGTTTACATTTCTACAAACAGTTTACAATGGTAGGGTTCCTTCTTCTCCACCCCCTTGCCAACACTTGTGATCACTTCTATTTCTTTATAATGACCATCTTAACAGATGCGAGATAATATCATATTGTTATTTTGATTTGCAGATTGAGGACGTTTTCATGGACCTGTTGGTCATATGTTTGTCTTCTTTGAAAAAAATCCCTATTCACTGACACCAACAAAGATTGTTATTGACATTGGCAATGCCAGAGCAAAGAAACTTATTGACAGCTAAAGCTACTGCTGTACTTCTTTATAATTTACTCACTTCTCTAGCTCCTCCTCCAAAGCCATTACCTTTACAGAGTTTAAATTTTTGGTTCCACACTCTTCTAATTGGGAGATAATGTGGAAAAAGGGCCAGAGGAGTAATAGCCTCCCTATTTTTAAAAAAAATTTCTCTGTATCTCTTAAGGGTAGTCGGCTGTTCAGCCTTCCTTCTTGTATTTTCCTTCTGGGTTCGTACTCTTAGATTGGTTTTTACACATCGCATATAGTGTTTTCATCCTCCTCATGTATTTCAGTAGGTTCTTTTGCTTTCAGGATTCAGAAGCATTGCCAAAGACAGCCAAGAAGAAGGAAGCTGTAGAGGTGGTTTTTGTTTGTTTTTGCTTTTGTGGTGGAGGGAAGGGGCAAGAGATAAGAGGTTGTTACCTCAGTAAAAACCTTCAGGCCACAAAGCAAAAAGTTGCATAGCCACAGTGAAGATCTAATTGGATCTAGTTTTTAAGTCACAGTTATTGCCAATTTGGGCTAATTCTTGGTTTTGGAGCACAATATTTTACACAATATTTTTATTAGGCATCACAGTTTTGCAACCTCTGCTCCAAACAGAAAAACAGATTTTTTTTTTTAAAGAGAGCTTAACTTCTGAAATCTCCATGATCATATATGTACATAACATCTGTGATGTTATGTTATGGTCTGGGTATAAAGAGGGCCTCATATAGTAAATTTGGAAGTGTTCCCTCATTTTTAATTTTCTGGAAGAGTTTGAGAAAGACTGGCGTTAACTCTTCTTTAAGTGCTTCGTAGAATTCAGCGGTGGAGCCGTCTGGTTATGGATTTTTCTTTTTCGTCAGGTTTTCTATTATAGACTCAATATCCTTACTGTTGGACTGATCAGATTTTGTATTTCTTTATGACTCAGTCTTGATAGGTTGTGTGTTTCTGGAACTTATCCAACAACTGCGATAACAGTTGTAATATCTTTTATTTATAATTTGAGTCTGCACTCTTTTTATTCTTTGTTAGTCTAACTAAAAGTTTGCCAATTTTATTTGTCTTTTCAAAAAAACCTCTTAATTTTGTTGATCTTTTATTTAGTCTCTATTTCATTTATTTCTTCTCTGATCTTTTTTATTTCATTTCTTCTGCTGATTTTAGGTTTAGTTTGTTCTTTTTCTTTTTCTTTGATATGTAAAATTAGGTTGTTTATTTAACTGTCTTTTTATTAATGTAGGCATTTATCACTATAAACTTTTCTCTTTGAACTGCTATTGCTGTATCAAAAAGGTTTTGGTATATTGTGTTTCCATTTTCATTTCCCTTAAGACATAATTTTTTATTTCCCTTTTCTTCTTCCCTTTCGCTTTCTTCTTTAACTCATTGCCTGTTCACAAGTGTGTTGTTTAATTTCCACACTGAAAAAATTTTAAATTGACTTTATTATTGGTATCTAGTTTTATACCATTGGGATTAGAAAAATACTTGAAAATACTTTGATTTTTCACATGGAATTTTAAAGTCGGCTAAGTCAATTTGGTCTACAGTGTTGCTCAAGTAAGCAGTTTCCTTATTGATTTTCTGCCTGGATAATCTAACCATTGTTGAAAGTGGGATATTGAAGCCCTGTACAATTATTGTATTGCTATTTTTCTCTTCAGCTCTGTTAATATCAGTTTTTATATATTTAGGTGCTAAAATGTTGGGTGCACATATATTCATAATTGTCATATCCTCCTGATACATTGATCACTTCATCATTATATAATGACCTTCTTTGTGTCTTGTGACAAATTTTGACTGAACGTCAGTTATTTTTTTATATGTATAGTAGCCCCTGCACTCTTTGCTTACATTTTCATGGAATTTTTTTTTCTGTTTTTTCACTTTTAGTCAATGTGTGTCCTTAAATGAGTCTCTCTTATAGGCAGCATATTCATGAATCTTACTATGTATTTATTCAATTACTTTATGTCTTTTGATTGGAGAATATAATCTATTTACATTTCAAGTAATTATTGATAGATACTTATTTTTGCAATTTTGTTTTTCAGTTTTGTAGTTCCTTTGTTCCTTTCTTCCTATCTTGCTGTCTTTCTGTGTTGATTTTTTATAATAACATGTTTGTATTCTTTTTTCTTTTATCCTTTGTGTATCTATGAGAGGTTTTTGTCTTGGTGGCTATGTTGGGGCTTACATAAATTATTTTATACTTCAAACATTCTATTTCAAGTTGAAAACAACTTAACTTCAATCACATGCAAAACTCCACTTTTACTCTTCCTCCACATTTCATGCTATTGATATCACAGTTTACATCATTTTATAATGTGTGTCTATTAACAAATTATTATAGCTATAGTTATTTTTAGTACTTTTGTCTTTGAATTTTATGGTAATATAAAAAGTTATTTATATATCACCCTTACAGAACTAGAGTAATCTGAATTTGAGTATACATTTACCTTTGCTAATGAGTTTTATACTTACATATGTTTTCATGTTGTTACTTGGCATTTTTAATTTCACCTCAAAGAGCTCCCTTTAGCATTTCTGTAATGGACTTGTCCTTGTGGTGAACTACCTCAGATTATGTTTCTCTAGGAATGTCTTTATCTACATTTTTGAAGGACAGCTTTGTGAGATGTAGTATTCTCAGTTGGCAGTTCTTTCTTTCTCAGTATTTTAAATATATCATCTCATTTCCTCTTGGCTTGCAAGGCTCCTGCTGAGAAGTCTGCTGATGGCCTCATAGGGGTTTCCTTGCATGTGACAAATCTCTTTTCTCTTGCAGCTTTCAAGATTCTCTTTTTTTAACAAATGAATATAATGTGTTCAGGATATACTTATTTGAGTTTATCATGCTTCAGATCTTTTGAGCTTCATGAAACTGGATGTCCGTATCACTCTCAAAATTTAGGAAGGTTTTACCCAGTATTTCATTAAATAACTTTTTTTTTTTTTTTTTTTGCCTTTTTCTCTCTTCTCCTCTGGGACTCCCATAATTTTATATTCATATGCCTCATGGTGTCCCATGGGTTCCTTATGTTTTCTTCTTTTTAATTTTCTTATTGTTCCTTTTATTGGCTAATTTCAAATGATGGTTTGTTATCCATATAGACTTGCACTAATGTCTGTGCATCTGAAGGGAAATAACATTCCTTTCAACCTTTAAACACTGCTTTTGGAAGGTAAAGACTTTCTTCTGTCATGTCCCTAGCATACTAGGATTGCCTGTGGTACTGTGGTTGAGTAGTGTTAGAATCAGTTCACATGGCTGCTGCCGGGTTCATAGTAGGTTCTGCCAGTTGTCAGGACTGTTACCGGGGGCCCAAGTGGGAGTGAATCCTCTCTGGACTGAGTGAACTAAACTGCCTATAGGACCTTGGTCAGTAGGGCTGGTGTTGGAATGAGGGTCTGCAGACAGTTGGACTGTTACTAGGTGTGCACAGAGGTGTGTCTTCCTCCAGGTACTTTGTGAGGGTTTATGTTGTGTTACTCAGTGGATCCTTGGGCAGGCAGTATTTGCTGTAGTATGGCTGAGAGGGGCTGGAACAAAGTTGCAGGGTTGCTTCAGGGTCCACAGCTGGGACCAAGTTCTGCAGGCCTGCTTTCCAGGGCATTGGACAAATGTGTCTCCTGGCATGTACCCGTACAAGCAGGACTGCTCTCAGAAGATGACATCTAAGAGGGGCTGGAATCATTTATTATATGGCCATTTTGGGATCTGCTCTGTTGCCAAGATTAGCAAGTATGCCTCAGGGACTCAAACAAGAATATCTTTCTCCTGGACCCTTTATGGGCAGGGCTGCTTTCAAACTTCAGCTAAAAGTGGCGGAGCCAAGTTGCCTTTTCAGTGTCCTCAGTTGGTACTGACATCAGCAGTTCTGTCACCAGAGGCAGAAACGAGAGTGACTCCTCCCAGGTTTCTTGGTAGATGGTTCTGGTGACAAGATCAAGACAAAACCTGGCTGTAGCTATGTTCACAGTGGGATGCAGCCATTTCTGGATCTGGAGCTAACACCACAGTTGGTGATCCCGCCGCCTGGGCACAGGTCTGTCTTTTCAAAAGAGCCCTTATAGACGTGTGTGTGTGTGTGTATGTGTGTGTAATTTTTTAAATGGGGACAGGGTCTCGCTATGTTGCCCAGGCTGGTCTTGAACTCCTGAGCTCAAGCAATCCTCCTGCTTCAGCTTCCCAAAGTGTTAGAATTATAGGCATGACCCACTGTGCCCAGCCCCTTCTAGGTCTTGAGCTCCACCAGGTTTTTATAACCTTCTACCTGAATCCCCAAACTCCACCAAACACTTGTGTCTATAAATAGCTGCAAAATTATTGCTGCAGGGTGCGTTGTGATCAAGGAACCTCCCATTCCACCATCTTGCTCACATCCTTACCAAAATTAGAATTTTTGATAGTTTAATTCAGGCGAAGAAGATTCAATAATAACTTTCTGCACTATATAATATTATCAGCCTTTCAGCTCAAGAGACTGCTTGAGAATATATCCAGAAATATTTAATTCCAAATTTGCAATCAAGTTTTCAACTGCCAGAAAGAAATGTACTGAAACAGAAAAGGATGATAGCTCCATTTACTATTACAGATGTTATTAAATATCTAAATGGCTCACTTTTTTGGCACATTCAAGGGTACAAGTAATAATAATGAAGAAGCCATTATTTATTTTGGTAGTGCAATCTTTTTTCTTCTGAAGAAGGCTTCTTATAAGGATATTGTGAACAAAATCTTATCCATATGAGACTCCAGAAACAATAGCAAATATTTGTGGAGACTCTCATATTGAGTTAGAAGTTATTGAGAAAATTTGTATTGCTTTTGGTGAAGATAATAAAATTGTGGTGGATGTTTATGTAAACAGGCAGACGTGTTCATTCACAACTGAAACAAAGCATGATTCATTCTATGGAAGGTGTTGGTTGTCCTGCCCATATCTTGCATAATGTGGCTCAAAGAACATCTGATGTCCTTTTAATTGACATTGACATTATTATCATAAAATTTTCCTCCTCTTTCAGGAATTTTACGATTAAAACTTAGCAAAGTATTTTTGTGTTTGTGTTGCCATTCAGTATTTTTCAATTTCTTTCATTAAAAATCCATTTGCTCTCTTAAACAAATATAGTTGAGAGACACTTGAGTTTACTTGAAACACTGTAGTTTTATCAAAATCACACATGATAATTCCATTTGATAACATGCTGGAAGGAAGAGTATTTAGTTCTATGTGTCATGTAAAAGAAGATAGGAATAAAAATTGATGACAGTGTTCTTTTTTGTTGGTGGACACCATTTAATAAGGTCATTGATCAAGGGATGCACTGTAATTCCACAGAATGGAAAAACAAACTATGTCATGACAGGTGGTATTATGTGGATTAACAAATCAAATTTATAGAACAATTTTCAGTATTATTAACTTTAAACAAGGGCATATTCAGTATACTGGCTTATAATGCTAATATTGAGGTGTCTCCTTATTGATAAATATTTAATGGGCAATGGAATAAAATAAATTGAATGTGACTACTGTAGAAGATACGTTACAATGTAAATGGAACACATGTAACTGCATAAAATTTTATAAGCAAATTTTGAAAAATAAGGAACTAATAAGGAGACAGCAATCAACAAATGAAGAAAGAGATATGTAATTTAGAGACATAATTTATTTCACATTAATAATTTTTAGTAGAAATGTGGCTCATAGAATATTTTAATTTTATCACATTTAGCATATGCACAGACAATTATGAATAATTTAATTGGGCATCCTGTACTATTGCTAAATTTGGCAACCCTCTTTGTAAGGGTGTTTTTAAAGGTAAAATAGTAGTTGAAATGCTCCAAGTTTTAAGAAAAATTACCCATTAAATAAAAAGCCTCCTTTTAATGTCAAGAAAAGGTTCATCTCTGCCGCATAGGGCCAAATGGGTTATTCCCCCTTGAGGCTTCTTCAGGGAATACCAAACATCACCTGGGGAAGGCTAGGGTTGAAAATCCAATTAAATATTGAGAATGGGAAAGTTTTTGCTAAAATGACTTAGCAGGGCTCTTACTGAACCTGAAGAGCACAGATGGACCTAGGAGAAGCTTCAGGAGCCTAAGTTTGATCAGGCAAAGAATCTTTATCAAAACCAAAAATCTTTGTTTTCATCAGAACCTGGATCACATACCTCTGTCTTCCGCTAAGATATTATACAATCAATCTGGGATGGAATTTTATGCTTCCTTTACAATTTAACATTTATATTTTATGGCTTAATTTGACCTCAAATAATATATGCATTTGCAGCTATGTGAAATATTAAATGGCTTCTTGTGGGGTTTTAGAGCTTCTTATTTAAATGTATGAGTATTTTCAAAATATAGCTTTGACAAATTTATGTTAAATCATATTGAAGTTTTTAATCGTCTGTCTTTAGTGGGCATTTAAAAAAATAAACTCTTCTTTCAATATTGTCATTCATCACTAACTGTGCTTATGAATGCACGTGTTCCAAGAAATGTGCCTGCCATATTTGGGTTATAGCTATTGCTGCTGAGAAAAGAAAAGAGGAAGAGAAAGCCAGGAAAGAAAATCTACTTAAAAACCTGTGGATACGAATACAATGCATAAAAAGACTCTCAGAGAACTTCACTGTGTTAATATATTCACTCTACACAAATTATTAGACCTTCCAAAGACTTATGAACTATGAATAGCTGCACCCAAATTTAGTCTGTAACAGTCACACATCCCTCCTGCAATACAATTGAGAACTCATCCAGTGATGTTGCTACTAGGCATATGAAATAAGGAACTCATCCAAAAGCTGTGCCAAATCTGCCTTGGATTGAGTTGAGTTGTAGTTAACTTCTTACAATGGGGAAAAAATTAGAACAAAATTTATCTTTCTTAATTAGATTAAATTCAAAGAGTAAAATATTCCTGTATCTTCTCTGCCTTGACTGCAGAGCTGCAACACTGCCATCATCACTCCAGCTCTCCCTGAGCCTCACTAGCATCTGGTAACTGCTCACAGTGGTGTTGCTTTCTTGCTTACAAATATGTCAAAGTACTTAGACATTTCCAGGATTTTTCCCAGTGAAGAATGCTTCATGGTGAGTTCCTCATTACAATTGGCTACTAATGCCTGGGTTTCGGGCATGGCTCATTTCTCTCCATTAACATTTGAAGGGATAATGGCTTAGGAAACTGATGAAGTAACCATTTTTAAATCCCTGCCACAGAATTCACTAGGCTCATAGTGAATGATTTTTACCTTTAAACATTAATTTTTATGTCTATATCTTTCCCCATAAGAAAATAAATCTTTGTGTATTATCTGGGGCAAATTCTAGGCTCATTTGAGTTTTACCTTCACTCACAGTTCATCTGCTCCTTAATCCTGATCTTTTAATACTTTTTTTTACCCAACTTTAGTATCCACCTTTTCTCTCAAGTCTACCTATCAGCATACTCAATATGGTCATTTTCTTGTCTCTTCTTTCTACATGTGCTTTCTGCATCAACTTGGTCTTAAGCTTTGAACAGATGTTCCTCCATCCTTAGGGCCTCCTGTTATCCAAGATGAGGATTCCTCTCCTTTTCATTACGTCCAACAGAACCCTCATCATCCTATTTCTCATCTAATGCACAAGTCAAGATAGCCCCTGCCCAGTCCCTCTTCAAAAAAATGAGAATCTTGGGACTTTAATTATTGAACTGTGGTCAAACCATCGGTACCCAACATCATCCTATGGCAAAGCCAACATTCACTATATTTTTTTGAGACAGAGTCTCACTCTGTCACCCAGGCTGGAGAGCAGTGGTGCAGTCTCAGCTCACTGCAACCTCTACCTCCTGGGTTCAACAGATTCTCCTGCCTTAGCCTCCTGAGTAGCTGGGATTACAGGCACCCACCACCACCCCTGGCTAATTTTTGTATTTTTCATAGAGATAGGGTTTCACCATGTTGGCCAGGCTGGTCTCGAACTCCTGACCTCAGGTGATCTGCCTGCCTCAGCCTCCCAAAGTGCTGGGATTACAGGGGTGAGCCACCACACAGGGCCACCAACATTCACTATTAACCACAGTTGGATAGGTTTGGAGATGTTTTATTTTATTTTTTATAAATAGCACTTGTGATTATCAACTAGATCTTATCTGCTTAAATAGCTGATATGTATATATTAAAGAATGAGAAGGTAAAGTGCTACCAAACAAAACCACCACAAATCCTCCTCTAGTGACAATAATTGAGTAACATAGGTTCTGATCAAAGAAGCCCTTTAGACCTATCTTTCTGGCCAATGATCAACTGATAAACTAGTTTGTGTCTGTAAGAGAAAATGAGATATTTGATATTTCTAGTCTTTTTAATTTAACAGGCTTTATATTTTTTCAGTTATCTAACACGTGACCCCCAACGGAGCATAGTAAACTAGTAAATTGGCATCTGTTTTTCACACACTATTTTTATGCCATGTGCTGTCAGACCAATCCTGCAAATAGTTGGTTCAACTTTAGCCAGTAAAAATGTCCTATACAAACTACACTTTCTTGACCTGTGTAATATTTTAAATTATTTACAACACTTAAATTTGGGGGAATTTTTAATATAATTTTTTAAATTTGAAAAATTGGAATATCTGAAACACTATGCCTCTCTCCCATATGGTGTTATTTCTATTTCATGGTCCTCACTACTCCTTGCTGTTCTACCTATATCAAAGCATAGAGTCTATTGTGACATTGTCCTTATTTATGTAGTAAAGTGAAAAATAATTAAATATTTCTTATGCCCAACTCTTTCTATCAGAAGTGAGAAAACACAATAAAAATCTCTTGATACAGTTTGAATATTTTCCCCTGCCAAATATCATGTTGAAATGCCACCCCCAGTGTTGGAGGAGGGGCCTAGTGGGAGGTGTTTGAATCCCAGGGGTGGATCCCACATAAACGGCTTGGTGCCCTCCCTGTGGCAATAAATTCTTGCTCAATTAGTTCACACAAAAGCCGATTGTTTCAAAGAGTGTGGCACTTCCCACCTTTCTTGCTCCCTCCCTCATGACATGTCAGCTCCCTTTTGCCTTCTGTCCTGATTGGAAGCTTCCTGAGGTCCTCACCAGAAGCAGATGCTGGAACCATGCTTCTTATAGAGCCTGCAAAACTGTCACCCAAATAAACCTCTTTTCTTTATAAATTGCCCACCTTCAGGTATTCCTTTATAACAAATGCAAAATGAACTAACACATCTATTTATAAAAATCAGGAAAACACATATTTTTCTTACGGAAGTTCCACCTCCTTAATAAACAAAACAAATTAATCTGTCAAACAAATGCACCAGGCTTGCTGCATTCATGCTACCCATCTAGCCACTGGGGGTATTCTCATTACTAGTGTTTGCTATAGACCGCAGGTCTGTAAACTATGGCCTATTGTCCAAATCCAGCCCACCACCTGTTTTTCTAAATAAAGTGTTACAGGAACACAATCATGCTCATGCACTTACATATTGCTGATTTCACATCCAGTGTAAAGGTGGAACGGTTACAACAAAACCATATCATCCCCAAAACCCTTAATAACTAGCCCTTTACAGAAACTGTACAGATCCCTGTTGTAGATGATACAAAGGAAGAAGTTGGCACCCTCAACTTCAGAGAAGTCAGAGGTCAATATTAGCTAAACAGTTTGGGAAGAAATTCATAGAGAATATATTGTTGAGCTAGGTGCTGAACATATTTTAAGAAAATTTTACAAAACAAATATTGTACATTTTTCCAATGTCCCTAGGTTTGAAAGTGCCTGTAAAACAACTCTCACCTAGAAACAAAGAAAAATTAATAATGTTAATTATATTTCTGTGAACATTTATAGAGCAAGATGACATTGTTAAGTTAAAAAACACAGAAGCTAGAAAAAAGTGAGTTTTTATTTTAAAGAATTTTTACATTTTTACTTTTGTATTTCCTAACAGAATGTGAATTCACATATTTTGACATCTAGAATTGATTGAAAATAAGATGTTGTCTCAGTGTCCAAATAAGATAATGGCAAAGATGTGAATATATACTATGTACACACATTATTGTCAAAAATAAAACATTTTCTCTTCTTGAGAGGAAACTTTAAAAACATAAATAAATAAATAAATAAATAAATTTATTTTCATGAGATTTCTAATAATTTCAGAATGTTGTCATGATTAAGTTAGAAAATTTAGCCAAAAATAAATTACGATTGTGGGAAAAGCCCTTAAGAGCACTGACCACATGCAAAATGCCCGTATAATATTACACCTATGAAACTTATGTAGAATCAACTAAGTGGTAGAATAAAACAGTTTCTTTGTTTTCTAACTATGAAGAATAGCTTTTTTCAAGGAAAACAAATCATTTTTAGACAGAACTACATTATGATTTAGTTTATATGTTTCATAGCACTGAATTTCAAAAATATACCTCAGTCTATTTCCTAAGAGACTATCCATTCTAAAAGATCTAAGCAGTTATGATTCTTCCAAATGAAGTGAAACAGCAGTAAGTGAATTTTTTGAGTCAAGCTCATGGCAAATGGTGCATAAATCGATAAAAGATGACACTTGTACAGCCATTTATGACCTTGCGTGACATTAAATTAATTCAACCACATAATAGTATTGTCTATGACTTGATGGAAGAGCAAAATAACAGGAACTTGTTAATTGAGAGAGAGAGGAAGGCAAAGAATAAGTACATGTCAAGCTGGCAAGCTGCTATTCTACACTGGACCTTGTCATTGAAGAGATGATTGAGGGAAAAATGCTTCTAAGGAAATGACTGAAACCTATGAATATCAGGATGGTTTGGCTTTCTTAGGCTTGCAATTCTTCTCTTCTGATTTGCCACTCTTTTCCTTCAGAAGTATAGGAACAATAGAACTTGGAATTACTAACAGAAGAATTTAGTACTGAAATTTAATAAGTACGTAAAAGACACCACCCCTCTGTCTGTTTAGGGAATAAGAAAGCACCAAGGAACAGCATTGTATTAAATGTGGTTAGGTCATGGAGGGTTTCCTGGATGAATAGACATTTTTCCTAGTCCTGAAAAATGAGTAAGAGTCATTTAGTTGAGATGGCGCTACGAATGATGGAGGAAGGAGGGGAATGTTGCAAAAACAGAGCAAGAAAAAGGGTGAAAAAAATAATATTATCATTCACTTAGTCATCAAGCCTGAAAATGAAGTCATTTTGACCAAGTTTTCCCCATTATGCTCTAAATATGTCAAGTTCACTTATATATATATAAACTATTTTAATTATATATATTCAGAAGAGAGTATCTGGACCTTGTCTCAAGAACCTGCCAGAGACTTAAAACAATTCTTGGAACAGAGTATTTAAAAATATGTAATTTAGGCTGGGCATGGTTGCTCATACCTGTAATCCTAGTACTTTGAGAGGCCAAGGCAAGAGGAGCATCACTCGAGCCCAGGAGGTCCAGAGCAGCCTGGGCAACATAGTGGAAACCCATCTTTATTTAAAAAAAAAATTTAGCCGTGAGTGATGGTACATGCCTTAGTCACAGCTACTTGGGAGGCTGAAGTGGAAGGATCCCTTCAACCTGGGAGGTTGAGGCTGCAGTGAGCCATGATCATGCCACTGCACTCCAGCTTTGGTGACAGAGTGAGAATCTGCCTCAAAAAACAAACAACACGTGTGCACATATGTGTGTGTACATAAATAATTGCTTGTGCTATTAAATATTTTTAGGTTTTCACATAATTTTTCTTGCCTTATTTGCTGCACTCAGTTTCTAACTACTTCTGCCCACTATTTTTTCATCTAAATTGTGAATAACATTATGTCATTTCTATGTTTACAAGTTTCCAATGATTAAGTTTTAATGACTCTGACACACTGCTGTGGGCATATAAAAATAGTATAACACACTAGAAAGGCAACTTTGTACTAAAGGATAAGAGTTTTCTTTCATTAACTCCAAATCAAATATTAAAAAAAAATTAATTCCAAAAAGTTGTTTGTCAAAATATAACTTACATGCCGAAAAATTCAAATAATCCAAGTATATAACAATAAGTAAATGCTGTTTACATTTTGGCATTTTCTTTCAATAGAATGTTAGTACAACCATTAAAAATGACAATTATTGATACCATATAGTAATGTGAAATGTTCATATCAATTCCTATCAATTATAAGTAAAAAAAAAGAGAATTTAAATTTTTGTAAACAATAGTGTACAGATTTAAAATTTTGTCTATTTCATAAATAAAGTTGTTTACATATATCCACATTTATGTATATATATGATTATTCATGTGTATAGAAAAGTGTGGAAAAGAATACAACTGACACTTTTAACAGTACTTTCTTCTGATTTGAGAAATTTGGAGAAGAGTCTTTCAATCATCTTATGGAGTTAAGGCAACTTTAAATTAAAATGAACAAGAATTTCAATAAAAACTTAAAAATTAAAGTTTCAAGACATATATACATGTTGAAAAATACTGAAAACAGTCCAGGGACAGTGACTCACACCTGTAATCCCAGTTTACACTGAGGTGGGAGGATCACTTGAGACCGGGAGTTGGAAACCAGCCTGGGCAACACGGCGAGACTCCATCTCTATATTTTTAAATAAAAATAATAAAAAGAAATAAGTAAAAATAAAATATTGAAAAGAGACCCTTCAAAATGGGAAAAGTCTTTGGGTCATGATTGTATACACAGTTTTAAAATTTTTCTTCTATTTTTGTATTTACCCCAATAAGCATTATTACTTTTAAAAGCAAAAAGTTATCAACATATATATTTTCCTTTTTTTCTTGAGACAGAGTATCGCACTGTCACCTGGGCTGTGGTGCAGTGGCGCAGTCTCATCTCACTGCAACCTCTGCCTGCCAGGTTCAAGTGATTCTCCTGCCTCAGCCTCCCGAGTAGCTGGGATTACAGCCACCCACCACCACGCCCGGCTGACTTTTGGTATTTTTAGTAGAGATGGGGTTTCACTATGTTGGCCAGGCTGGTCTCAGACTCCTGACCTCGTGATCTGCCCGCCTCGGCCTCCCAGAGTGCTGGGATTACAGGCGTGAGCCACCACGCCCGGCCAACATATATTTTTTTCATGAACAGTGTGATCCACCATTTGGTGCACACATTATTTACCTATTTATTTATTTTTTCCTCATTTAGTATTTTCTAGGCAGTAGAGAATGCTCCTAAATCCAGTGGCATTGTTTTGAGTGACCTACTCTCACCAGAGTGGATCCAAAGGCCTGCCTTTGATAAACTCAGTAAATAGCTTACACAATTCTTGTATGCAATAAACATAGTTTCTTGCTTATCAATTCTATTTATTCTTCAAATTCTACAAAAAAAGGTAAAAATGTTAAAGTCTTTATATCTTTGCCATGATAATCTTTCTCTGTTCACTTCCACAATATTTCCAGAGTACTAGAAAATGTCATTCAGCAGTAAAGCTCCTGCTGTCATAAACACTTAGCTTTCAGGGCTCACTGTTTATGGAACAGGAGGAGTTTATTGCCTTATACATTGTCTCCAGTTGTGGGATTATTGCTTAGAGCATTGACCTGTTTGAAGATGAGAGTTGTGGCTCTTCGGAACCGCAAGTGGGTACTTTTCTTAACAACAAAAGGAGATTCATAACATGAAAAGTGAATAAAAGTCTATGGAAAGATATTAACTTGATTTTATTACTAGCCTTAGAGAAAATGTTTTTTATTGAAATACTAAGTATGAAATGTAATAAGAAAACACATTTGAATACAAGGGTAAAGAATTTATAAATATTTTAAAGGAATACGTATGAAAAATACACTTTTAAACTTTTCCAACATATTCGTACTTAAATATATTTTTATTTTATATTGATATTCCTTGGTTATTTGGAAGCTACTGTATATCTATGTTTTCAAGGAATTTCAATACACATGCAAGTGCATTTTTCTTCTGACTGATTTTATAATACGAAGTCCCTGGGTCAAATAAGGTGATTGTGATATTACTTATTACTGACAAAATGCAGAGTTTTTGTTTGCTTATAGTTTTACTTAAGAAGTTATTTTATTATTTTACTTATTATTTTAGTCAAATCCATAGAGACACATACTTAAGAAGTTTAAAATCAGATGTTTCATCATTATTTGCATTGACTAAGAATTGTTTAGGAAGGGAGTTTATTTTTGTTTTGTTTTCAAGTATTTGTAGGTTTCAATTCTACTTCTGTTATTTTTTAAATTTTTTTATATTAGCTATAAAGATTTTATTAATCTTTCATATTATTTTTACCATTGGAAACATAAAATAATTTAGTACTAATCTTATTCAGAATACCTACTATCTCCCTAATTTTAGGGGTCTGTTTGATCTATCAAAAGCTGAGAAATAAAATGTATAGTGTTATATTATATTTATGTTTTTCTCTACTGTTCTCACATATTTTGAAATATTACTATGTGTTAACTCATTTACTTATTTCTTGAGTTGACAACTTTTTATTAAACATAGAATTATACCTAGGTTTCTCTTTGGGAATCTGGAGGAAAAACTGAGAATGGAACTAATATAAATTCCTGGTTCATAGAACATTTACTTAACTGGAAGAAGCAAGGGAAGATAAGTTAAGAAGTAAAATATAAACTGTAGTATTTTAAAATTAACAAACACTCTATGGAGAAAAATGAAGCATAGAATGAAGAAAAAAATAAGAAATTGAGTGCTGCTATTTAAAATCAGATGGTTAGAAAAAAAGCAAAATTTCGGATATTTTAATAGATTCTTGAAGAAGGCAAGGAAGCAGAATTCAGAAATCTTAATCATGAGATTCAAATCAAAAGGAAAACAATGGCAACAATTTTCTCCCCACCATCCCCCATAAAAGCTTAGACATAGAGTGTTATTGAAACAGCAAAAATGTGGCTAGAGCCTCATTATAAAAGTGAACAGTGGCAGGAGATGCTGTAAGACAGGGACTATGGAAGGCTTAGAGATGAAAAGAAAGGCAGCCATTCCAAACCCTGTACAGTCACATCAGGCGTTTTTTTTTAAAAAAACCCTCTATCTACCAGGATCTCTGGCTAGTAAATGATGATTTCCCCTTCTTTTTTCTATCTTTTCCACTTTTTGTTTGTTTGATATTGTTTCCCTTCAAATCTTCAAGACACTTCTAATATTCAGCCAATGGCAGAACCACTAATGTATGCCAAATTGGGCTAAAAGCTGGTGGTTTGACTCAAATTCCACATTTAAAAAAAGAAGAGAGAGATAGAACTCCAGACATTCTCACTATACTGTGCACTGGGAATCATGTCTCCCACATACCTGGCAGAAGAAGGAAGTTCTATTTAAAAAAAAAAAAAATCCTTAGACTCAGGAAAATCAGACATAGCTAAAGGCAAGACATGTAATCAAAATACAGATACTGAGTGAAAATCTGAATTCTAAATAGTGAGATGACTCATCTCCAAGAACACATGTAGCTAGGTTTATAACTCTGCTCCAGACTCAAGGCTCCTTCCTCACAAGCAGAAGAGAAGATTCCCCTGTAGGAAAATGGTTCTAAAAAAAGATAAAAATCAGATAAAGTCTGGTATAGGGAGGGAGGCATCCTCCAATGATACAGACTAGCAAGATCACCCAAAACAAAGCCTACCAGTTGGCCAAATATGTATGTCAATTTAAATTAATGTATTTAGAGACTCGCTGTTACATATAAACAGAAAATTACAGATCTTAAAATCACTGGTAGTTATAACATAAAAAATAGAGTCCAAAATAAAAATCTTTAAAGGGAATCATAGCCTAGTTAATATAGGCAATACAAAGAGTAAATGCAATATTATTAACCTCTAACTCATTGTTCTGTAGAGATAGAAAATATCGCACCATAGGAGGTGGAGAGGATAGAAAATAGCAAAACTATATATATTTATATGTTTAAATTTTAGCTGAAATAAAAGTTGCAATAACAGATCTAAATATGTGACTTTGAAACATCTCAAAAAATTAACAACAAACCTAACTAAAAAGTGGGCAAATAAACATTTTTCCAAAAACGATACACAAATGGCAGAAAGCACATTAAAAGATGCTCAACATCACTAATCAATAGCAAAATACAAATCAAAACCATACCGAGATACCATTTCACACCCATTCAAATGTCAATCATTAATTTTAAAAAAATGGTTGGAGGTTGAACACAGTGGTGCATTCCTATAATCTAGCACCTTGGGAGGCCAAGGCTGGAAGATCACGTGAGCCCAGGAGTTTGTGACCAGCCTGGGCAACACAGTGAAACCCGCTCTCTACAAAAAAAAGAAAAAAAAAAAATTAGCCAGGTGTGGTGGTGCATGCCTATAGTCCCAGCTACTCGAGAGGCTGAGGTGGGAGGATCACTCGAGCCCTGGCTGCAGAGGTTGCAGTGAGCTGAGATTGCACCACTGCACTCCAGCCTGGGTAATAGAAGGGTACCATTTCTCAAAGAAAAAAAAAAAAATGGTTGGCATGATGCGGAGGAATTGAAACTCTTGTGTATTGCTGCTGGGAATGTAAAATGGTACAGTCACTTTGTAATAAATGTAACAAATGATGTTGTAATTCCTCAAAAATTCAAAAGTTTACCATATAATTCAGCAATTCCACTTCTGGGCATACACCCCAAAAAATTGAAAGCTAGAACTTGAACGGATTTTTGTATACTCCTCATTATAGCATAATCCACAATAGACAAAAGGATATAGCAACCCACATGTCCATGGATGAATAAACAAAATGTGGGATAAACATAAAATAGAATATTATTGAGCCCTAAAAAGGAAGGAAATGCTGATGCATGCTACAATATGGATGAACCTTGAAAACGTTATGCTGAGTGTAATAAGCCAGTCACAACAGGACAAATATTATACGATCCCACTTACATGAGGTACATAGAGTACACAGGTACAAATTCATGGAGACAGAAAGTAGAATGGTGGTTGCCATGATTGGAGTGAGGAGAATGGGAAGTTATTGTTTAATGTGTAGGGCATTTCAGTTTGGGAAAATAACGTTCTGGAAATGCATGATGGTGATGGATGCACTACAGTGTGAATGTATTTGCATTGAACCATACACATAAAATAGTTAAAAGGGAAAATGTTACATTATATGTATTTTATGACAATAACAAAAAAAGATAAGCATAAGAGAAATGAGATAATAACTTTAGAAAATTAGTTCAGGAGGTCTAATCTCCAATAAATAAAAGTTTGAGAAGAAAAAAAATTGAGGAAGAGGGAATATTTGCCAACTCATTCTAAGACGCCAATATTACCTTTATTCTAAAGCTAGGGGGTAAAATCATGCAAAATAAAAACTAGAGAAAAATATTCTTCATGAGTATACATATAAATATCTTGAGCAAAATAGGTTTTTTGTTTATCTGTTTTTCTGAGACGGAGTCTTGCTCAATTGCCCAGGCTGGAGTGCAGTGGCATCATCTCAGCTCACCGCAACCACTGCCTCCTGGGTTCAAGCAATTCCCCTGTCTCAGCCTCCCAAGTAGCTGGAATTATGGGCACCCACCACCACAACCGGCTAAATTTTTATTTTTAATAGAGACAGGGTTTCACCATATTGGTCAGGCTGGTCTCGAACTCCTGACCTCAGATGATCCACCTACCTCGGCCTCCCAAAGTGCTGGGATTACAGGCATGAGCCACTGCACCCAGCCACAAAATAGTTTTTAGATCATCAATATATTAAAAAGAATTACACACCATGACCAAGTGTCATTTATCCCAGAAATTTAAGATTAATATAACATCATTTTACTTCTCATGGATTATGCAAAAAAATCAAATATTCATTAATTAATGCACCATATTAGAATAAAGAAGAAAAAACACAAGATCCACAAGGTCATCTCTATAAATGCAGAGAGAACATTCGACAAATTCCAACATCTAATCATGATAAACACTTTCGGTAAAATAGGAATAAAAAGAAACATCTTCAACCAATTAAAATGCATCTACATAAAACCTATAGCTTAAAAAATATACGTATAATAAAAGACAATGTTTCTGCCCTAAGATCAAGAACCAGACAAGTACATCCATTCTCACTACTTCCATTTAATATTGTACTATAAGTTCTAGCCAGTACAATAAAGCAAGAAATAGAAAGTAAATTCCCCCAGATTGAAAAGGAAGAAGTAAACTTTTCTTTATTGGCAGAAGACATCACTCCTCATGTAGAAAATCCTCAGGAATTTACAGAATACCTACTAGAATTAATAAAAAAAAAATTAACAGATTTTCAAGATGTAACATTGATACAGCAAAACCAACTGTATTTCTATATACTAGAAACAAAAGTTCAAAATTAAAATTAAGAAAACAATACAATGTACAACATCATTAAAAAGAGTAGAATACTTTGTAATACATGTAACAAAAGTTGTGAAAAACCTGTATACTGAAAACTATAAAATATTGCTGAGATAAATTAAATATTAAAGGGGAGACATTTCATATTCATGGACAGAAATAATCCATATTGTTAAGATGTTAATTCTCCCCAAATGGATCTACAGTTTCAATCCTTATGAAAATCCCACATTTTTGGCAGAAATTCATAAGCTGATCCGAAACTTGATTTGGAAAAGCAAAAGACCTTAAATGAACAAAGTTATTTTGAAACAGAAGAGAAAAGCTGGAGGACTTACCATAATCAACTTTATAGTACCCTATGAAGCTGAAGTATTTGAGAGTGTGTGCGGTATTGTTATAAAAATAGACATATAGATCGATGGAACAGAATAGAGTCCCAAAATAAATCCTTAAATGAAAGGTCAATTGATTTTCAACAAAAGTGCCAAGGTAATTAAATGGGAAAAGGATAGCATTTTCAACAATTTCTACTGAGACAACTGGATATCCACATACAAAACGATGAATTTGTTTTAGACCTACACTTCATACCACATAAGAAACTAATCTCAAAATATATAACAGACTTAAAAATAAGTACAAAATGTGAAAAAAAAAACTTACCAAAGAAAACATCAGGAAAAAATTGTATAATTTTTCTTTTTTTCTTTCAAGGCAGGGGCTCACTTTATCTGCCAGGCTGTAGTGCAGTGGTATGATCACAACTCACTGCAGCCTTGACCTCCTAGGCTCAAGTGATCTTCCCAACTTTAGCTCCGCTCACTTTTAATTTTTTATGGAGATAGGGTCTCACTTTTTTGCCCAGGCTGGTCCCCAACTCTTACCCTCAAGCAATCCTCCCACCTCAGCCTCCAAAAGTGCTGGGATTACAGGGGTGAGCCACCACACCCAGCAAATTTTATAATTTTGTATTAGGAAAAGATTTTTTCTCGAATATAACATCAAAGCATGATGTATTAAATAAAAATTGATGTTAAGCATCATCAAAATTTACAACTTTTGCTCTTCATTAAGAAAATGAAAAGACAAGCTACAGCTGAGAGAGCGTATTTGCCAATCATATATCTTAATAAGGACTTAAATCCAGACTCTATAAAAAACTCTTACAACTTGATAATAATAATGGCCAAAATATTTTAATAGACACATTATGAGGTATGATAAGTAGCACATGAGAAAATGCTCAACAGAATTTGTCATCAAGAAATGCAAATTAAAACTATAAGATACCTCTACATGCAAAGTAGCATAGTTAAAATTGAAAAAGACTTAGAGTGTAAGTATTGGCAAAGATGTGAAAAATTGAGACCTTTATGCATTGCTGGTGGGAATGTAAAGTGGTACAGCTACTTTGAAAAACAGTTTGGCAGTTTCTTGAAAATTTAAACCTACATTTAACATATTACCTGGCAGTTCCACTCCTAGTTACCTGCTTAAGAAAAACAAAAATGTATGTTCACACACAGTCATGTATAAAAACATTTGCAGAAGCGAAATTCATACAATCAATCTAAATTCCCATCAGCTGATGAGTGGATAAACAAAACATCTTAATACAATGGAATCGTGTTAAGCAATAAAAAGGAACGAATTACTAATACACACTACAACACAAATTAACATCCAAGAAATGATGACTAAAAAAGATCATATATCATGCAAAGGACCAGGAATCAGCATATCACTGGACTTCTCTGAGGCAATACTGAAGCTAGAAGAAACTAGGGTACTGCCTTGAAGATTTTGAGAGAAAGTAAAGATACCTTATAAATAAAATATCAAAAAATATATATTTCTCATATACCCTTCCCAGCAACATTCTAGAAATAACTCTACTCCAGACCAAGGCAGAGAATAGGACATTGCATCATCACAGATGACAGGTTAAGGAAATCTCCAAGGTTACTGGTGAAGTGACATCCAAGTGTGATTTATGCAGCACACCATGACAGAGAATACTGAAGTCCAAAGAAGGAGTATGAAGGAGTCAAAGGGGTATAAGTCCAGAAAAATTAAAGAAAGAAGGAAGGAGGGAGGGATAGAAAACATGGAAGGGGGGAAGACAAAAAGGCAGGCAGGAAGGAAAAGGACAAAATAATTTTTTGAATGTACCTTAGAGAAAATTAACAATTCCAGAGGCTATTTTTAGAATTAATTAGAACATAAAAACCTGGAAAATGAGGAAATGAGGCAATTACTAACTTCAAGACAACTAAAAATTACAGAAAAGGGAATATACTAATGGTACATTTTGTGGTTTAAATGTGAGTACAAATTACATACTCATAATAAAAATCTCTATACATACTACTCTAAGCAAATAGTATGTTATACGGGGGAAAATTGGAGGACAGAAAGTGTTAGAATATTGGAAGAGGAACGTATTTGAGTTACATAGTTCTCTTCCAGAGAAAGATATCAGTATGTAATATCTAAAACAAAAAAATAGGACAAAAATTTTATTTAGAAAGATGGATGTTGATGTTAGAGAAAACAGGTAAAAAAACTGAGTGGCTATTTCTAGGAAGAGGGAATTAAAGTTGGAGATGGGTGGGACATAAGACTGTTGGTTTAAGTCTTCAGTGTAAACTACAACTTTTCAAACTACATGTATGCATGACTTTCATAAAATGTGAAAACTGAAAAAAGGACAATAAGTTAGGTTAGAAATCTCAGAATAAAATGTAGTATATACATCTTCTGAAGTCTCTACAATGTAGGGAAAAAAAAAACAAAACAAGGATGAAACTATAAAATGATGTTTCTTTTGCAGTTGTAGGAGTGATAGGAGACTTCAGCACATTTGGGACATAACAAAATATAGCCAAGAACTCAGCAAATTAAGGACAAGCTTGCTGTTAAAAAAAAAAAAAAAACAAAAACCTCAGCAAAGACAAAATTAATCATGTACTAAATATAGATTATATCCACTACAGACCCCCTTCACAGAACTACATAGGAGAAAGAAAATGCTATAAAAATAAAGTGAATAGAAATTAGAGGTAGAAGTTGTGGGAAGAGGGGATCAGAAATAAAAAAATATATATGAAAAAATTGACTTCTATAAGAAAGAGTTATCCTGAACAGGCAAGTTTGAGAACTTTTGATTCCACTGTAGACATGATTTATCTCCATTCATTTAATCCTCATAAGGGTATAGAGAAAAACTGAGTAGTTTTTGGTTAAACAGAGCCACCAATATATCCTGTCTGAATTCATTGCTGGGAAGAAAGGAAAAACTGGAGGAACAATGTTTACAGGTGCCTCAGTTACTGACCACAGGTTCTTAGGCTCCTGTGCAATAGAAATTGACACAAAGCCAAGCAAGTTTCCCAGACAAGGCCCTTTATTAGTGGCTTATGTTCCAATACCAGGGAGCCAAGGTAGGCACGTGAGTTCTCCAGTCAGCTGGCTAAGGGCAGGCCTTTGCTGTGTTTTTAGGAAAGGTGACATGAGTATGTATGAGGTATGTGACAATCGTTACATGTGCAGGGTGGAGCTCAGGTCACACAAGCACAGTGAGAAATCATGTTAGTACATACACTACATTATCACAAAATGGTAGATAAGCCTCTCCCTGGGTGTGGATTTTAGTATTATAATGAGGTCAGGCACGAAGATAGGTCATTCTTCTGCTCTTGTGTGCAGCCACCTGCACACAATAGGGTCAACTCCTCTGAGCAAGGGTTGTGGTGAGAAGTTGCTTTTTAACTCCCTTAATATTTATGGTAGGGTGCTGCTTATCTTAGTTTTTTCAAGGTCTTGTGATCATCAGGAGTGGCTCCAGTAGAGGTGGTGGTGTAAGCTGTGACAATTGGTGGGTATGGAAAAAATGCATGTGTGAGGGTGAAAGGGCCAGGTCTGGCACGTGCTGAGTCCCATCCCTACTCTGTCTCAACTTCTCAGCTCATCAGTTAGGTTAAGGGCAGAATATTAAAGTAATGGAGTGGGAGAGGGTACCTAATTGAAAAGAAACGAAGAGTGCTACAAAAGTGGAGAGGAAAATCTTTTTACTTTCATAAAAGTTCAATTCTTTGACCTCAGCTTCAGACATTGTAGATAAACAAGATAAATGCCATTTTTTTGGATTCTGTAAGGCAGATTCATATATGTGTTCCCTTCAGTTTTTCTCAAGAAAACCTAAGGATGTTCCTGAGAGTGGTGCAAGTATGTGTTACTGAAACTCCAGGGATTTCATCTAGGTCCTGTTGCTTACTGGACGGAAAGCCAATTATCGAGACAACAAGTATTACCAGGGAAGAAGTCTTTTTATTTGGGTGACACCAACCAGGAGAAAGGAAAATAAGTCTCAAATTCATCTCCCGGACTAGCTAAAATTGAGAGGTTTATATAGTGGGGAAAAGAAGAGCTATGTGGGGGAAGGGATAGCTACCTATGGAAAGGAATTAGGGAGTGATAAGGAAGCAAATGAATGGGCTGGCTTCTCATTGTCTGGATATTGTGATCTGGTCAGTTTCCTAAGGAAGGAACTCAGATGATACAAATGTAAATTTCATGTCTTAAGACTGGGAGGATCAATTTCTATTTTTTTCAAAAATCCATAAATATCATTTACATGTGACAATTGGGCTGGTTTCATATTGAGAATAAGGTTAAGTTTAATATCCCATTGAGGTCTTAGATTGCATGTGGATTTCCCTACATCAACTGAGACAATAACACTTTCCCCCATAACTCACCTGAAGAAATTATAAGTGGGTCAGGCACCGTGACTTCTGCCTGTAATCCTAGCACTTTGGGAGGCCAAGGTAGGAGGAAAACTTATGGCTAGGAGTTGGAAACTGGCCTGGGCAACATAGCGAGACCCTGTCTCTACAAAATTAATACAAAATTTAGCTGGGCATGGTGACACATACCTATAGTCCTAGCTGATCCAGAGGCTGAAGTGGGAGGATCATTTGAACCCAGGAGTTCGAGGCCACAGTGAGCCATGATTGTGCAATGCACTCTAGCATGGGTAACAGAGCTGGACCCTGTCTCAAAATAAATAAGTAAATAAACAAAAATAAAATTTAAAGATTCATGAGAGTATGTCTATATACTATTAAGATAAAATAGCAAACCAGAAAGCAGTCTCATATTTAACACATCTAATTTCTGTGTCATATGTGTGTGACACATTTTTGTTACATAGCTAGATATGTACATATGGAAACTAAAGTGAGTTCCATATATCCAGACATTTTTCATCATGAAAAAACATTGGAAAGTCATTATCTGATGTTTTTGTTATTTCTGAAATACATAATATGAAAGCAAAGAGTTGCAATATGATCATTTTATAAAAGAAAATACATGGGCTTAGATGTGCCTACTTGGACCCAAGGTACACATATTTGAGTCTAAATAGAATATTGATATTAAATCTGAGACCTTGGCTGGCTTTTCATTTACTTCTGAGAATGAACAACTTAAGGCAATGTGGGAGTGTGAGCACATGACATATACCTGCCATTTTAAGAAGCAGTTACTATCTTGATTAAGTATTTACTTCCTTGCAATGGAACGATCTAATACTGGTTTATGTTTGTTTCTGTGTTTATTTTTAGGTGTTTTTATTACACAAGACAAAAACGGAAAAACAGTAACAAATGATTGGTTAAGCCTTTCAAAACAAAGAAGTGTATGTGCTACAGTATATTTAGACCTATTATTCTTAATCTTCTAAGTGGAACATAAAATCTTAATGTCTAATACAAAAATACTAAGAATATGTAAGTTCTTAATAAGTACTTGATTGTCTGAAGCCCTGAAATAGACACCTGGGAATTTTACTAATGGCCAATAAGGAGGAACTGTTAGAATATAAATTCCTGGTAAAGGAAACAAAAAATAAGTTATTTCCTTAAGGGACTACAGAGGGTACAGAAGTAACTTTTTGTCCTTTTGTTTGCATATTTTCATACAAAGGGTTCTCATCTATTAATTCCATTCTGAAAGATAAACAGCACACCAGCTATCCTTAGCATTCTATATATAAGAAACTTCAGACTAAGCTGAGTGTGGTGGCTCATACCTATAATCCCAGCACTTTGGAAGGCTGAGGTAAGCAGATAACTTGAGCCCAAGAGTTTGATACCAGCCTGGGAAACATGGAGAAAACCCATCTCTACAAAGAATACAAAAATTAGCTGGATGTGGGTGGTGTGCACCTGTAGTCCCAGCTGCTCAGGAGCCTGAGGTGGGAGGATCACTTGAGCCTGGGAAGTGGAGCCTGCAGTGAGCTGTGATCATACCGCTGCACGCCAGGATCAATTACAGAATGAGACCATGTCTCAAAAAAAAAAAAATAAATAAATAAGGTAAGGTTTAGCAGGTTAGGTAAAATATATTTTATGTGAGAAAGTTAAATAATCTACCCCAAATCATAAAACTACAGAATGGCAAATACGAAATGTAGAACTAAATTATTAACTCCAAACCCAGAGCCTTCCCTCAAAATTCTGGCTAGAAATGGCAATGCTTAGATGAATAACTTCTGTTTCCTCTTCAAACATTAATATTCCAGTATGCCTGGAGTGGGAGGAACATTACACTATACTTCTTTCTCCTCCTTCATTAGTGAAGGTCACTGGAATAGGTTCATTACACTCAAGCAAAGGCCTGGGGAAATGATAGAATTACCTCTGTTGACCCAGAAGAGCACCAAAAGCACCAGTGTGCAGAAATCAGAGACCTCAAGCTAAAAGTCATAAAAGGTAAGTGTTTATAATTAACCTTTCATGGATATCCTCTTTATAGTCCTGTCTATGATTGCTGTTCTTATCTTCATTCTGTTCCTCACTATAAGGTGTCTTTGCCAAGGACCCCTTAATCCTGAACACCCATGGGATTATCTACTCCCTTAAACAACTATCTCTCTTCTAAAATGTAACTATCCTCCCCCATACAAGATTTAGTTTCCTTCACAAGGGTGAAACAGTTCTGGCCACAACATTGTTTTCAGAATAATTAGTCTACTTTACTTTTTTCTTTTATCTCTGGCACTAAATGTTCCCTTTTAGCTCCTCTTTGTATAATACTTATATTTGGTCCATGCATACTTAACCTCCTTGTAAAATTTGTTTCTTCTTGCCTAAAGGCCATCAAACTCCAAAGGGTCATGCAAATGGAGCCTTAGATGATGGCTTCCTTTTTATCAGGGACACTTACAGGTCTCTGAATGATATCTGACTGCCATTTTCCCAAAACAATGCTCCCTGTCAGTATGAACGGTCATTGTCCCTATCCTAACAGCTAGATGTACCTCTTCAGATGGGGGATTGATAGCAGCAGGAGACAGACATATTCATAGGCAGACAGAGACAGATTCCCAGTGAAACCTAACCTTCAAGCCAAAGACAGTTTAAAGCCTGAAAACTGAGCTGCCAGTTCCAGATAGAGTCCCTGACCAGAGTGAGAACTTCTATTCCCATCTTACCCACTCTCAGTTGGTTCCTTCTGAATGAAGCCTTTTAGCCAACTGAAAAGTGATTTTTCCAAGACCATACACAGACGAATCAGTACACACTCACCTCTTCTAAGCCCATAAAAACCCTGGACTCAGCCTCACAGGCTGCTACCCACTTTCATTCTGCTTGTGTGGCTGACAGCTTTCTTTCTGTAGCTCAATAAAATTCTACTGCCTTACTCACTTTCAGGTGTCTGCATATCTTATTTTTCTTGGTTGCAGGACAAGAACCTGGAAGTCGTCGAACTGTGGAAGCAAAAGACCTGTAATGCTCCTGCTTGCCGAGCTGTGAGCAGTGGTAGTAAAAGAGCAGTAACATTCTCTCCTGCTTGCCAAACAGGAGAGAAGCCACTGGCACCACTCCCTCCCACTCACTGAACTATAGAAGAGAAAAAATTGAAACACCAAAATTGGGGAAATGCGACTTTTGCGAAAATTTGAAAGTGCATGCTTCACAGAAGGAAGGGGGAGCTGGTCTATTATGTCTCACTATAACAAGACTAAAATTTTGCAAATAAATTGTTCCTGCCATAATTTATCCTTGGTAGAAATGAAGAAATTGGAGAGAGAAAAAATTGGATTCTAGGTCCTGACCATTGTTTTTGAATTTTTATTATTTTCCTACAATTTAGGCTAAATTCTGAACTATTTGCTGGCTACAAGAGGCCTCTAAAAAAGAGCTGGGTTTTAGTTTTCTTCATGCTCTTTAAAAACTGGCATATAATGGTGTGTATCTCTCGTTGTTTTACTTCTAAGAAACTGAAGGCATGATATTCTGAAGACTAGAGGTGATTCAATAGCCTATGAATCTTCTTCATTTGGAACCCCACTGGGCCTGATCTGTTTCCCATCACCAATGCACTTCTGCTAAACCTATATCCTATCAAGTACTCTCCCTAAATGCTCAGAGACCATAACAGAAGATGAGGGTGTGTGAGATTATAAAAGCCAAATTAGTGGAGTGGAATCTGGAGGCTAAAGCAACTCCATCTTGGATGCTAATCTGCCATGTTGGCTTCTGATTAACCCCAGTTCTGGAGGGCCTCTGAGGTTTCCAATTTATCTACTGTCCCTTGTGTAAGAACAAGTACTTATCATAAATCCTGCTATTAGGGCAAATTTCTACCCATTCCCTCTGAAGCATGTGCACCTCTCCTCTACATGTAATCTCCCCTACAATAGATAAACCCCTCTGGGTCTGGGGGCTAATAGTGTGGGAACCCATCATCTTGCCTCACTGCTGCACAAGCCACAGGTGTGGCTTCTGTTTCTAAGTCCCTATTAAATGTTTCTAGATACCAGATGTATCAACCTCTTTCTTCAGCCTCTCAGCTTCCTGGGACTTTGGGGTTGGTTTGCATAGACCTACCCACCAAAAAACTCTCACAGAGTCAGTCTTAAATACATACAGAGCACGGTTGGGAAAATTCCATGAATATTTATAGGGGAAGTCATGTGCTTGAAAATTGGATAAACTTGTATGTAACATACATTCCATTTTGACCTGGGGGTGAGGTTTCAGCTGGGATTCGACTGTTTATGTCAAAAGGTAAACTCTAGGGCAAAAAGAATTTGGACATAGTCTCTGCAAGCTGACTGAAACTGGCTTAAGATCTATGGTCACTTATCAATAAAGAATGTGATAAAAACGGTCTTTGTCCAATCAGAGTGCTGGCAGGACCACAAGGCAAGGAAAGGGCATTGACAGTTGGAGTCCAGTGATTTATTAGTATTGGTTGGAAAATTTTTCAATTATAGTTGTTTTGGCAATGTTTTTCAGGAGCTGGTTTCTGTTTAATTACAGAAAAGAAACCTTATGTAAATTAACAACAACAGGATACATGAACAATCCTTCATCCTACTAGCCATGAAATTCTGGAGTTTTTTGTTTGTTTGTTTGTTTTAGGGTTTTTTTTGTTGTTGTTGTTTTGCTTTGTCTCATTGTAGCCACAGAAAGTCCATTTGGTCTGTCTGTTGGGGTATATTGTGACAATTCCATTTGTCTTTAGCTGAAAATGGTTTCAAGCCTGAATTCTAAGCCACCTCATTTTCTCCTAGTATCTCCCATGTGTTAGCTTAAAAGAAAAACACAACTTATAAATGTAGAAAACGAGAAGAGGAGACTTTGTTTCTTATAGAGGATTATAGCTTGCAGGTAGCCATTCTGAAAGACTGGGAAGCATAGCCTCCAGCCAGAAGCCAGAAACAGATACTTTGAGGAAGGGTCAAAGGGAACAGGGATTTATGCTGAGTAGGGTGGCCACATATACATATTCAATAAGCAGTAGGAGGAGTCATAAATATTTATGAAAGGAGAAATTGTGTGTGTGTGTGTCCACATGTGCACACATGTGCAATACAGCTTCACGAGTCTCCATGTTCAAAAACTAGCGGTGATCTGAGGGTGGAGTTTTCAGCCCTCTGATGTCAAAAAATAAAGGAGAGGACACAAAAACTCTTATTGGGCATTCTCCATAGACTGGCCAGAACTCCTCCATGGTCAGTGGTCTCTTAACAGGTAAAAAAAGGAGGGGAAGCAACAGGCAGTTGGTGGATATTAGTGGTGGAGTCTTTTGAAAGGGCTACTTTTTGTTTAGGCCTTAGTGAAGAAAGCCTAATTGCAATAAGCAAGCAGTGGGGTATAATGAGGCATGTCCAACCTTCCCATCTCATCATGGCCTAGAACACAGTTTTCAAGTCTACTTTGAGGTTCCCTTGGCCAAGAGATGGTCCCTTCAGTCAGCTAAGGGGCTTAGAATTTTATTTTTAGTTTATACATGCATATATGAGGTATAGATGTAAATAAAATTGTGTTTTCCTCTTACTAAACTGCCTTTTGTTACAGTGTTCTCAGTTAAGAACTTAGTAGAGAGAAAATTATTATTATTATTATTATTATTATTTGAGATGGGGTCTCACTGTCACCTGGGCTATAATGCAGTGGCATAATTATGGCTCACTGCAGCCTCTATCTCCTGGGCTCAAATGATCCTCCCTCCTGAGCCTCCCCAGTAGCTGGGAGTACAGGAATGTCCCACCACATCTGGCTACTTTTTTAAATTTTTGGTATAAACGGTGTCTCACCATGTTGCCCAGGCTTATTTCAAACTCCTTGTTCAAATGATCCTCCCACCTTGGCCTCTCAAAGTGTTGGGAATACAGACATGAGCCACAGCTCCTGTCCAAAATTATTATTTTTCCTGCCCCTATGGCAGCATAATTTTCACTTATATCTCACTGGAAAGAACGGTGTCAAATGGCCATCATCAACTATAAGGAAGGTCAGCCAATACTCTCCTATTTCTATTAGTAAGGAAAGAGTGAATTTCAAAGGGACAGCTACAGGTTTCTGTATCACAACGTCTTCCTCCATTCTATCTCTCTAACAGAAGCACTTGCCAACTGGTGGTCTATGATGTAGAGGAATTTCTAGAAATAATTACTGAAATTTCTCAATTTCATTTATTTTCCTTTTAATGTCTTTTCTAAGTCAGTTAGCCCATGGGAGTACTGGATAGCTGTCACTGTTCTCCAAATGCAGTTCTAAACTTGTCTATGGAAGAAACTCTTCTTTATTTCTTCGTTGTTATATATTTATCTCTCCAAATATCTCTGGGAGATAAAATCTATGGAACTGAACTCAGGCCAGGAATATAGGATTATGTACCCAAGGGGGATGCCTGAAGGCACATATTTACCACCTGCTTACACTGCAAAATGCAAATCCAAGAAGGATGAATGCTTTTGTTCTTTCAGCTGCTACAATAAGAAATCAAACAGCAGTTCTGACACAGAGCAAATACAAAAAATTAACAACAGCTACCATTTATTAAGTACTTACCATACGCCAGACACAATGTTAAATATCAAACCAACTAAAAGGAAGAAGCTGAGGCAAGATCAATATAAGCAGAGAGTTTATTTGGGTCAAGCCTGAGAATTGCAACCTGGGAGCATAAATTGAAGTAGCCCCAAAAACACTCTGATTAACAACAGTGACAAGCAGGTTTTAAAGCTGTGTGCAGTGGCTCACGCCTGCAATCTCAGTACTTTGAGATGCCCAGGAGGATTTCTTGGGCCCAGGAGTTTAAGACCAACCCAAGCAACACAGGGAGACCCCCTCTCTACAAAAAGAAAGAAAAAAAAAAAAAGGAGATTTTTTTAAAGGAAAAGAAGATGCAGTTCACCAAGAATTTACAGAAGCTATTGATTGGCTATACATCATTATTTGCATCACAAATTCCAGGAACATAAAGATAACGGGTGAGGCAGCTAATCAAAAACAGAAATTCTTTAAACACCCATGCATGTGTGAGGATATGGGGGTGGGGGGCTATAAGTAAAGTCCCACTCTCATGTATTTCTGGACCTGACAATTTTTTCATGCCTGACATAGCTCAGACTGGTCTGAGCTATTTTTCTTTTCTAACATCTCCCTTACCTCCTAAATTCCTCCAAATACTCATGCTCATATATGAGTATTAGGGTACCTATTCCATAGATAATAAAATTATAATTGAAATAAATTTGCAGCCATAAAAAAAGAAGAAAATCATGTCCTTTGTAGCAATGTGGATGCAGCTAGAAGCCATAATACTAAGTGAATTAATTCAGGAACAGAAAATCAAATACCACATATTCTCACTTACAAGTAGGAGTTAAGCATTGGATACACATAGACACAAAGGTGGGAATAATAGACACTGGGGAATACAATACGAGGAGGAAGGTAGGGAAGCAAGGGTGAAAAACTAACTTTTGGTTACTATGTTCACTATCTGGGCGACAGATTCATTCACACTTCAAATATCAGCATCACACAATATATCTTTGTAACAAACCTGCACATCTAACTCCTGATTCTAAAACAAAAGATGAAAAAGTGAAAAAGCATGAACAGGAAAGCCAGAGTGTGTGATTTTTGCACTTTTAGCAGCAAAAGTATTTGTTTATCACTAAAAATATTTTAGGTCTCTTCCAAGATTAAAACATATGTAGATATTTCTAGGACAAAATAAATAACTAATCAGTTATATTCTAAAAGATAGACCAGAACCATTAAACCCCTGTACATATGTTCATTGAGAAATAAACTCCTGACCTAGCAAACTCCGGGTACACACACAACTCACAGCCATCCATATGTTTCTTCAACTGCACTTCTTTCAATACCCAGATATTGTTTCCTGTTAGGAATTCATCTAGCCTGATATTTTTGCTTCTTCCTTTCAACCTGAAATAATAAAAATAATCATAATCCATTTTAAAAGAGTTTATTCAATTGCAAAGCTGAGAATAGCCACTCGACTAACGCAGACTCCAAAGAAACAAGGTAAGTGCTCCAAAGCTGACAATTCATGCTTATATAGGCAGAAAACAAATCAATGACAAGATTACAACATTTTTCACAAAAGGCTGGTTTATGAGTTACAGCAGTTTGGTTAGTTACAGTTGTTTTCCTTTTCCAATTTAAGAATATATTTAACATTCCATCATAGACAATGTGATGTGATAGTTTTGAGGCCTTTGTATAAAAGAAAAAAAAGGAAGTTAATCTATAATGAAAATCAACAGTGGAAAGGGAAGGGGGTCTTCTCTGGCACCCTTTAGTCTTTTACAACATTTTGCAAAACAATGTAGATAAACAAAAGGCTAATCTACAATCAGAGGAACAAAGGTTACAGCTGCCTGTCACATGACTAAGGGCCCATAATCACATTCCTTTAAGGCTCAAAATAGTTTAAATTTCCAATAGCTTTTATTTTGAATTACTTATTCATAAACTCCCTTTTGATCTTTCATGACTAATTGATCTGTCTCTGGAAACACTTCCGTAAATCAAAAATAAAATTTTAAGCCCCTCAACTGACTGAATGGATCTCACTCTGAGCCAAGCAAACCCAAGGAAACCTGAAAAGGTAGGTCAGGCCATGACAGAAAAGAGAGGGTCAGACATGCTTCTTTCTACTCGCTTCCTTTTGGAGTTCAGGTGCAACTGATCAGCATTAACATTAAAACAGAGATCTTAAGACTGACAAAACAGACTCTTTGTATCAATAAGATATCTAATTCCAACCTGACTCTAGTCTGACATCACATGACACATAAAGAAGGAAATCAAAATATTTTACCTCAAATATGTTTATTTGCCATATTTTCAAATGGTCCTGCAAAACTGTCTTCTGTGGGGGGAAATATGCATCTGTAAAGAATCTATATTAACGTAAATAGATCTCTCCCATTCCAGGCCTTCCCAACTGTGAAGAGACTAACTGAGAGTATGGCACCTCTTAAAGGTCTAAATAGATCATCTATTGTCTCTAAGGTTGGTCCTCTATGAGACTTCATCTATGTAATAAGAACCTTGATCTCCACAATGCCTTATCTTTTGACAGACACTCCTTTCTATTGATTCCAGGTCTTTAGGTAATAACTTAACTCTCAACCCATTGCAGGTCAGGAAATCTTTGAATCTACCTATGACCTGTAAGCACCTCAGAACCTGTGCTTCGAGTTGTCCCACCTTTCTGGGCTGAACCAATATATACCTCACATGTATTGATTGGTGAATTACATCTCTCTAAAATGTATAAAACCAAGCTGTAACCCAACCATTTTGGGCACATGGTGTCAGGAGCTCTTGAGACTGTGCCTTGGCCCGTGGTCACTCACATTTATCTCAGAATAAACCTCTTTAAATATTTTACAAAGTTTGGCTTTTTTCATCAACATTTCTCACACAGACTTACACCCACTTTAAGACTTGCCTGTGGTTTCCTCTCATCAGTTTCATCAGGAAATCAATCACCTGCCTCTGCTTTTCTCCCTCTCTCTGCCCTATTTCAGCTTTCTCTCTCAGTCCATCTCTAGCATCTTTTGGTTCATTTTATGACTTTAATTGTGGCTTCTTAGTGTTAGATCTAGTACTACATCTGCAGATAGGTAAGAGGGAGCTATATATTTTGAAGTGACAGCTAAAAGGAAAGCCAGCATCTTTCACCACCACATCTCTTCAAAATCTTAGAAAATTTCCATAATTTCCAATTAAGCCTGCTTTCCTCAAGCTCTTGCACTTATGAAAATTAAATTATTTAACTTTATAGTATTGTTCTATTCTACTTCAACATGTTAAATATTTTATTTCAAATGAGTATGCTATTGCAGCTATATTATATAGTAAACAATCATATTTAGACTAGTGAACACCCATAATCATTGATGAGATTTCATTTGCATATATTCAGATTCTTTCTGATAAAACAAATTTTAGCAAGTTAGTGGTAGGGACCAAGGAAAAATATCCATGTCCCCCTCTGCAGTTTTGCTGACAACCAGTTGACAAAAGGCAAATTAATAGGGGAAAAGGCATACAAAATTTATTTTAATGTGCATTGCATGGGGAGAATCACAGGGTAAGATAATGATTACCCAATAAGCAAATGGAGTATAAAAGCTTATATACCCTTCCTCATAGGGGATGGAAGATGGGGAATGTAGACAACTCTTTGAGGAGCAGTGAATGATTATTAGGGACAATGAGTAGGCCCAGGGTACAGAAATTAACTTGTAAATGATTCTCTTTGAAATTCGAATGAGCCTGAGAGGCAGGCACTATCTTGTAACAGGTCCATCCAGGTGTGGTTGTATTCCTCAGTTGTCTGAGATAGATAATGAGATTTCAGGGAGGACAAGGAAGGCAATTGTGTTTGTTCTGGGGGATTTCCAGGTAGAAAAGGGAACTGAAGAGAACAGCCTCATTCTGTGCTTTGAAAGAGACAAAGGGTTAAGAGAAGGGGAAGTAATCCGAGAGACCTGAAGTTGCCAGTTTCGTTCAGCCATATTGATGGCAGCAGCAGCCTATCTGGAGGAGCTGCTGTGAAGAGGCTGGCTGCAGCCAGTGAGCTGCGGCTGGGTCGTGTGCTCTGGGTCCAGAGGGAGCCAGGAAGAGGCAGGAGCCCTGCCCCCTTACCGAGTTGACAGGGCAGGAGCCCCATGCTCCCACGCCAGCCACAACCACCCAGCCATGTCTCCAGACCTCAGCATCCCTGTTTTCTCCGGGGCCCAGGAAGCCCCCCAGCCCCTGCAAGCTCAAAAGTGCCTGCTCCCACTCCCCGGCCTCTCCCTGCTCCCAGTGTCCACTTTGATTTTGGAGCAAAGTTGTGGTCAAGTCCGGGCACTGTTGCAAGCTTGCTGAGTGTGTGCATGCTCAGGGCAGTGCTGACACAGCAGCCCCCCTTGCCACCTGGGCCCCCACAGGACTTTGGTCACTGACTAGTGCAGAAGGGAGGCCTGGGGGCACTAAGGGCAGCTCTGCATGGGGCTGCAGGTGTCCCTTGGTGCAAACAGCCTGGGTGCCATGAATGGCATGTTTATAGCTGGAGGCAGACAGGTTCCTGGGTGGAAAGGGGCGGGTCCCTGGTGAAACCCCACTTTCAAGCCAGGGCCAGCCTGAAGCCTGTGGGCTGGACTGCTAGTTCTGGGTGAAATCTGTGACCTGGACTGAGAAATTATGGTGCTTTTTCTGGGCCCACCCATGGCTACCCATGGACCAATCAGCACACACTTTCTCCCTTCTGAGCCCATAAAAAGAACAGACTGAGTCAGACTCAGACAGATGTGAGGACCACCAGATGCGGGAAAGAACTACCCACTTCAGGTCTCTTTGACTCACCAGGACTACCAGCAGCAGGAGGGAGCTACCCATGTCGGGTCTCCTTGACTCATCAGGACAACCTGCCTATGGAAAGGAGCTATCCACTGTCAGTCTCCTCTGCTGAGAGCTGGACACTCGGGATGACATGCCTGCGGTACCCACTTTGGGTCTCCTGAGAGCTGTCGCTCAATGAAGCTTCTCTCCACCTTACTCACTCTCCAGTTGTCTGTGTACGTCATTCTTCCTGGATGCAGGACAAGAACATGGGACCTGCTGAATGGCGTGACTGAAAAGGCTGTAACACAAACAGGGCTGAAACTTTGCCCTCAACCCCCTGGCCCAACACACTGTGGGCAATGAGAAGGAGAGAAGAGCTGCTGCCCTTCAAGGGACCTCAGACCTAGGGGCTCCCCAAGACAGGGCTGTGACATCCTCTTTGTGGCTCTGTCGTTCCTGGCATCTCCAAGCTTCTGGGTGCCACTGCATTCCCCTCATCCAGACGTGGATGCCCACAGTGGAAGCCTCGTGTAGTACATCTGGTTCAGCTGCAGCCTCTGTCAGCAGCTGTGCGGGTGCCTGGAACTGCCCACCCTGTTGCAGCTGGCACACCTGGCTTTGCACAGTGGCTGGACCCTGAGCTTGTGCACACACCCCTCACTGTTCTGTGCCTGGCTTGCCATTGGGAGGCATGGGATCTGGGCCAGCAGCACAAGCCAACCACAGCCTGCCAGGCCGAGTGGGCGGAACAAGCCCAATGGGCGCAAGCAATACTCATGCAGAAGATGCCACGGGTCACAAAGGTTTTGGGCTGGCAGAGCAATACTCCAAGGATCTCATGACAATATTTTGGGGTAAAATATTTTGGTTTCTTTTATAGCCAATCTATTAGTATTTGAGAAAAATGCCTGATTTCAGTGACTTAGATATTATGCTCCCATTACCTTCCATTTTCTTTACCTTTTCTTGTTTAGGCAAGTGACTTAAATGCTCTAGGCCTCCATTTCTTGAGCTGTAAAATAAGTGTCTGAAGAAGCTTATCTAAATAATGTGATGTTATATTATGTTATGACAGGGTCTGACTGCCACACTCAGGCTAGATGGCAGTGGCACAACCATGGCTCACTGAAGCCTCAACTTCCCAGACTCAGGTGATTCTCCCACCTCAGTCTCCTGAGTAGCTGGGACTGCAGGTGCGCACCACCACACCTGGCTATTTTTGTATTTTTTGTAGAGACAGGGTTTTGCCATGTTGCCCAGGCTGGTCTTGAATTCCTGGGCACAAGTGATCTGCCCACCTTGACCTCCCAAAATGCTGGAATTACAGGTGTGAGTCACCATGCCCAGCCTAAAGAATGTCATTTCTAATGACAAAAAAAACAGACTTATTTTTCTCCCCCATCTATCAAGAGATATTTTTAAAATCATGTAAATTTTTAATACATTTGATAAAACACCATCAAGCTTCTACAACTGTCTCATCCCATTTATAGGCTCCATGAGGGAATGCATAAATTATCTTAATATTAAAAAAATGCACAATTATGAACAAAATACAAAATATTTTACCCCAAAGTATATGTCTCAGCATATTTCAAGATGGCTATTCAAAGGGGTTGCAAACACAAGAATAGCTGAAAGGCTGTCTATTTGTGGGGCAGATTTGTATCTGCAGAGGAAATTTACATTAGTAAAGTGAAATAAACAGCAGAGGCGAACAGGCCTTTTATGAACACTCCTCTCCTTAGATCTTGGAATAATTATCTCACAGGAAAAGGAGACTAGGGGTCTGACAAAGAAACTTGTACCATAGGCAACCACATACTCTTTGAGAGCTGCTACCTGTCAAGTTTCATCTGTATAACAAGACCACCTTTGCTCCATGCCTTTCCTTCTCTCTCCCTCCCATAAACTGTCCTGCAGTGCTTCAAGCCCCTATTCTTTCTGTGACCTAAGGACAGTATAAAACCTTGAGCCATCTGGCACTTTCATTAAGTTTTCATATTTTGCAGGACTCTTGTGCACATGATAAATGTGTGTGCTTTTTTTCTGCTAATCTGTCTATTATCAGTTTGCTTTATAGACTCAAATTATCAATGCTTCAGAAGGAAGGAAAGGAAATTATCTTCCCCCTTACAGTTAGAAAGTTGGAGTTACACAGGATGAAAAGGGCTAATGTGCAGAATGATTACTATTATTAATGATACTGTAATATATACTGAAAATTTGCTAAGACAGTAGATTTTAGGTTCTTTTGCCATGAGCATACAAAATGGTAACCGTATAAGGAATGAAAATGTTAGTTGCTTTACTGCAATAATCATTACATTAAGTATATGTATATTAAAACATCGTATTTTACACTTTAAATATGTACAATAAAAAAGATTTTTAAAATGCCACCTTTGGCCAGGTGCTGTGCCTCATGCCTGTAATCTCAGCACTTTGGGAGGCCCACGCTGGTGGATCACCTGAGGTCAGGACTTCAAGACCAGCCTGACCAACATGGCAAAACCCCATCTCTACTAAAAGTAGACACAAAAAAATTAGCCGGGCATGGTGGTGTATGCCTTAATCCCAGCTACTCGGGAGGCTGAAGCAGGAGAATCACTTGAACACGGGAGGCAGAGGTTGCAGTGACTCAAGATTGCACCACTGAACTCCAGCCTGGGTGACAGAGTGGGACTCCACCTCAAAAAAACAAAACAAAACTATAATGGTAAACATTAAATAGAAAATGTTTTTAATGGCGCAATATTAAAAGATTTTCCCCCTAAAACTCTCAAACTATTTTGAAATATAATGTCAAAATAACCTGAAAAATAACTTTCCAAAAAGTTCATTTTAATTAACATCAACCCAGAAGCCAAAGGGTTCTTGTATCCTGGAACATTTTTCAAAAAGAAAAGAAAAAGAACTCATAATTCTGACATCTTTCTTTTACTATTTATGAAACTTAAATTTAATGTCAAAACTTACATAAAGTTCAATTGAGATAATATCAGGAGCAAAAGTTGCAAAAACTATAATAAACCGAAAGAACAATCACAATATAAGCCAATATTGTTTAAAGTCTGTGTGCCAAGAAATATATTACATATATTACTTACTTCTGTCATGTACCTTTAAAGAAAAAACTCTAATTTGTCCAAAATCACACTATTAGTAAAAACAAAGGATAACCTCTGTCTCACTCTGACTTTCCTAATCTCCGTGCTTGCCACCTGACTGAGCTTCATTTTCTCTGTTTACAAGAGTGACCACCCAATAATTAGTTAGTATATCTACAAAAATATTTGACATATTTAGTGGAAGATATTATTTTATTATCATCTCCAGAGTAACACACATTTCAGGCTTCCTCCCAAATCCCCTCATCTGGCATTTCCTGAGCTACAAACCCATAAAAAAGGTTTAGTATGTTACTTTGGATATTCTAATGTTCAACCAAATTCAGGAACCATTGAACTAGATTTAAAGCTTTTTTCAATAGGAAAACAGCATCAATTTTAGGAAAACTGTGTTAAAAGAAAACCTTCAGACAAATTAAATCTAACAGAGTTTAACTGAGTAAAGAATGATTTGTAAATTGGGCAGGCCCCAGAATCACAGCAGATTCAGATACTCCAGCTTGGTCAGCTGCGTGGAGGAAGATTTATAAACAGAAAAAGGAAAGTGGTGTACAGAAGACAGAACTGAGGAGTAGAGACAGCTGGGTCAGTTCTAGCTCAGTGTTTGTTTGCCTTATTTGAACATGGTTTGAACAGTTGTCCATCCTTGATTGGCTGAACGTCAGTGATTGGCACAAGAGTAGAGTACAGTATGTTAACACATCCAGTTAGTTTGTGGTTCACTACCTATAGAGAAGCCTTTATGCTACACTTAAAATATGCAAGGAAGGAGCTTTAGGCTAAACTTAACAATTGTATAATAGCTTAATACCCAGAGAACAGTTATATAACAGCACTGAAATATTTGCAGTCAGGAGAGGATTTTGAATTTGCAATTTGGGATTTATAAGATTTGAAGTTTTAAACAAGACTAGCCTTAACTTCTGTTATTATTTGAGGATTATATCAAATTAATTAATTCAAGAAACTATGCATGGTTTCCATAGTAGACTCTATGTTTAATGACTCTCAATTAATTATCTGTGGTCATTAAAGTTCCAAGTTAAAGCTTTCCGTCAAGAATTAGTTTGTCATCAAAAGAAGATTAACCTTATGAGTAACTATAACAAGGTAATGATATCCAGATTAGAAGGTCTGGACATTACACAGATGCTACTTTGTCAAAAAAGTTTATTACAGTCCATGTGCATTTATACTTCTTTAGATAAATTCTAAATATTTCTGCCATAAATTGAGATAATATAAAGAACCTAGAAAAAATTTCCTAAATCACAAAATTCTCTGAAAATACACATTCTTAAAATATACCAAAATGTGTATATGATTTCTGTGGTAGACTTTAAGACTATTAACAAATATTTTGCTTCTTCTCCTGAGCACATGGCAGAATTAAACTTTTTGTATGCACTTGAATTTTGGCATAGCCATGTGACTCTCTTTGTCCCATGAAGATGTGAGCAGGAGTGTTGTGTATCACTACCAGAAGAAAGCCTTAAGAACCAGTGTATCTGTATTACATTTTATTTTTCTCTGACATGCAACTTGAAATGTTTCAGATGATGGTTACATTGTCCTTGGTCCTGGAATAAGAAGGACATGAAGGAAGCTCACAGGTAGCTTAGGATGGACATGCTATGTGGGCAAGAAATAAGCCTTTGCTACTTTAAGTCCCTAAGTTGTAGAGATTGTTCATTATCACAGCATTACCTCACTTATTATGTCTGACTTATTTGCAAATCAGAAGCTCTTATGCCTTTTCTTAAAATATATGCCAATACCAAAATGGCCCTTTTAAAATTGAGTTTGTAATTTAAAACTAATTTTGTAAATAAAAAACAAAAAAAACCCATTGCAATAACAACCTACAAAGATAACTCAAGTTTCTCTATATGTATAATTTCTTAATAACTATGAAATGCAACACGAAGAAGTAAAAATTCAGCTTTCAATCTTGTATGTCGGTTTGAGTTATGCAAAAGGAATTGAGTGGAATTTAACCTTGTTAACAATATGAAGCAGTGATCTTAAGACTCTTGAAAAGAGGGGCAAACCCTTCAGGCTGTAATCAATAGCTATGGCAGCAAAGGAGCTGTTATGTGTGTTCTGTTTAAAAGACAAATTGCTCTTTTATTGACAGCCACTCTCTGCTGTGTCCTATTTGAATGATGAAAAGGAACCAGCAGGGCTCCAAAATTAGCAGAGAAAGCACATCCATCTCAGAGGGAAAACACACAAAGTTACAAACATTTTTCTGTAAAAAAAAAAATGGTTATACAAAACACCTGATAATTAAGGCTCTTTTCATAGCAAGTTAATTCCAAAACGATGAACCTCTTTTTATAACTGGAAGGGTGATAGCAGCAGTGATTTTCCATTTCTCCTCCCAAGGACGTTCCTGACATAAGATTAATTTCACAGAAACTTCCCTCATCTTTCTTTAAACTTAATATTCTCATCCTTTAGAAGCATTTCTTATTCATTTTAGAAGCTTAGGAGGTACTGCCATGCAGGGATTGCTCATAATGACATAAAAATTGGGAGCAAAAGTGCCCATTTTTAAATTCAGGTTATGTAAACTTACCAATTTCCTTTAAATAGATATGAAGCATCACCCTATAGCAGCTTGCAGTGTCTGGCACATAGTAGGCAATCTACTCTCTTCCTAATATATGAATAATGCATTTCATCTTAATTTATGATTTCATATTTATATACCAATATACCACATTTTGTATTGTATAATAGGACAACTGTTCTTTGACATAAATTATAAATGTTTAGGGGAAACAGTCCTAGGTATTATGTGTCAGTTCACATCTCTCACATACATAAGATTTAAGTTCACATTCCATAAAAATGAGAGATTTAAGATATTTTTATAAGACACAGTCTTGCCCCACACAGAATATACAACTAAAGGACACAAAAGGTGTGCTCTTCCAAGACCAATTTCTTAAGCAAAATAACTTAATGATTTTACTACTAAAATATGCATGGTGCCAATCATAATTTAATGTAATACCATACTACTGATATTGAAAATCCCATACGAAGTATATCAATTAAATCCATAAAATACATACTTTATTTTTATTAAGCAGAATGCGTAGTTCTTTACTGTACCTACTTTTGCAACCTACAACTCAAACTAATAGACACATTTGCTACAGAAGTCAGATTCCTCTTCTAAAGTCAGACATGAAAAGGGAGATAACTATAATGATGATGATAATTAACATGATACATGGATAGATGTGAATAACCAATTACAGAATGTAGCTCTTTTGAGCTAGCAGTTATTTAAAGACATGATAGATGACATATTTCAGAGATGATAGATGACATATGACACATGACATATTTCTCTAATGATGTCCGTCACAAATAAAGTTCTGAAATAACAATATTTTCCCAATAGAAAGCTGAATGAAACTATATCAACTACCATAACACAATATTTATGCATTCAACAAATACTTACAGCACAAATGTTTTATGCACAAGAGGGGAATACACAGAGTTAGAGTGAGTCAGACTCTGGATTCAAACCCAGGCTGCTGCACTAACTAGCTGTGTGACCTGTAGGCAAACACTAAATCTACATCAGCCTTGTAAAATTATTAATAGCTATGCTATACACTTTTTATAAGAATATAACAGACTGGGCACAGTGGCTCACATCTCTAATCCCAGCACTTTGGGAGGCCAAGGCGGGCAGATCACGAGGTCAGGAGATCGAGACCATCCTGGCCAACACAGTGAAACCCCACCTCTACTAAAATACAAAAAAGTTAGCCAGGAGTGGTGGCACATGCCTGTAGCCCCAGCTATTCGGGAGGTTGAGGCAGGGGAATTGCTGGAAGCTGGGAGGCAGAGGTTGCAGTGAGCTGAGATCGCGCCACTGCACTCCAGCCTGGCGACAGAGCAAGACTCTCTCTCAAAAACACACACACAAAAGAATATAATAAAATGAAGTATATTGGTCTCGTGGCACTGAGTCTGCTGTAAATAGGTACTCAATAAATGTCAGCTACCGAGGTGCACTTTACTAGTGCTTACCAATATCCAAGTTCTTTTCCTTTCAGGAACATAGATTATATTTCCCAGCCCCCTTACAGTTAGGCTTTGCCATGTGACTAGTTATAACCAATATACTATGACCAAAATTGTCAGCAAAAGTAAAAAAAGAAGACATTTTGTATAGTGGAACTATAAGACTGAACAGCTGTCATCACCCTTGTTTTCTGAGTAATTATGCCTAACAAAGCTATATCTCAATCAAAAGCAACATGTAGCACAAGTGAGTGATCAACTTTCATTCTGTTAAGCCAGAAATTGGTATCAGGAATGCGTTACTACTCTGGATAAACCTAAATTATGTGGCATTGAATAAGGAATTAGATGTAAGGTTGAAAATTGCAATTTGAGAATGCAGGAAGAAAACTGTCATGAAAGGTAAATAGGAGCACAGATTATGAAGCTAACGATCTTGTTCTTTTAGGGAAAAAGAGTAGACAGTTGAATGGTAGTAGACTGTATTTAGCTCTGATACTGGAAAGATTTGAAAGGAATTATAAGAAATGAATGAGCTCAGGAATGAACTGGTCAAATTACAAGCAGAAATAGATGGGAATAGAGAGATATGTGATCCCACCTATGAAGGACAAGCTTGTATCAGATAAACCCATCTAACAAAATCAGCCACAGGTCATCAGAGAGCAGCAGGAAGACAATACTTGAGTGGATGTTATCTGATAGAAAAGAGAAATGGCTTGTGATGAGTCCAATATTCTGCATTGTTTTGCTCTACGTCGGTCAATTTTTCATCAGTGCAAACAAACTGAGAAACTGAATAAAAAGAAACAACCGGGAAGCATGTTACCTTAGCAGAATTTTTACAGTCTTACAGGATTTGGAAGAAAAAAAATGAAGTTCAAGGTACAAAGGAAACTAGGATTAAGGAGTCAAAATTCAGAAAGAATAGAGATGAAGTGGAGACTGATAGCAGCACTTTATCCTTAAGGAGTTTGCTGACTCATAAGTAGAATGGGGCCAAGAGAATGAGAAGTCAAGCAGAAAGCTGATGCTAAGAGGCAGACAGCGCAACGCAACTTTCTGCAGTCTCACAATACTGGTGTTGGTGGGGTTCCCCGAGACCACTCTTGGGCTCAATGAATCACTAGAAAGACTCACAGGACATAAAAGCTGTTGTATTCACGCTTACGGTTTATTACAGAAAAAGGATACACTTTGGGATCAGCAAAGGGAAAAAGGAGTATAGGAGAAATCTGGGAAAAACCAGGAGCATTTTTCAAGTGTTTCCTCTAGTAAAGTCAAACAAGGACTTGGTGCATTCTCCCAGCATCTGTGTGTGACAATATGTTCAAAGTGTTGCCAACCAGGAGAGCAGATCTGAGCTTTGAGTCCAGGGTTTTTATTGCGGATTAGTCACATATATGTGCAGGGCCTGCATGATCGACTATCTACTCAGACTCCAGCCTTCTCACAGCAAAAACAGGCATTCACCATGAATCACACAGGATAAAGTTATCTGGTAACACCGGTCCAGTGTGGCCCAAGGAATCAGGAATACAAAAACAATCTAATCAGGCAGAATATTCCAACAGCTCAAAGGTTGTATCCCAGGGGCTTGGGCAAGGCCCAGTTCTGAAAATCAGCTTTTATCTAGAAGGTACAGGGTTTGAAAAGCTTGGCCTGCTGTTAATCATTTTCTGCATAGTTGGGAAAACAAAGGTTGTGATCGAAATGCCCCCCAAGGATGCTGGACCCAGATAATCATCATAAGTTTTAGCTTATGATTTAGTAGGGGCCTCAGAATGGTTATATAATACGGAGAATGTTTCCCCAAAGGTATGAACATTCTAATCCCTGGAATTTTTGAATTTCTTGGGTTATATGGCAAAGAGATTTTAAGGAGACAGATGGAATTAAGATTGCTAATCCGCTGACCTTGTGATGAGAACATTATGCTGAATTATTTGTTTGAGCCCAAAGTAATCTTGTGATACCCTACCTTGTTTTAACCTGATTGACTCTCACTTAGCTGAGAGAGCCGGACAGACTCCATTTTGGTTTATTCACTTGCAGCCCCTTATCCCCCTCCCTTAAGGACATAACTGGTGCAAGCTGACTCCAAGCACATTCAGGAATCCAATTACTGGTAAGATACTGAGGCAAGCTATATCAGCAGCCCCTGGGAACGCACTTGGTTGATGGTACCCAAAGCCCCTGCATTTATCTCTGTGTGATAGTTTAAGCCCCTGCATCTGGAACTATTTATTTTTTCTGTAACTGTTTCTGTAATCACTTATCTTTTAACTTTTTGCTTGTTCTGCTTCGGTAAAATTGCTTCAGCTAGGCTCCCCCTCCACTTTTTAGACCAAGGTATAAAAAGAAATCTAGCCCCTTCTTCAGGGCCGAGAGAATTTTTTAGTTCTAGCTGTCTCTCGGTCGCCGGCAATAAAGGACTCCTGAAGTAGTCTCGGAGTGTGGTGTTTCTCTATAACTCTCTCGGTTATGACACTTTGGAGGCCCCAGCGAGATCCGCCACCGGGTGAGGGCCGGACTCGTTCCGGGCTCCCCCGGAGCAACGGCGGGCTTACAGGGTAGGCGCCACCTAAAGATGCTCCAGGGCCCCGTAGGCCACCGTCTTCCAGAGGGGAACGGATCAACTGCTGGTGTGCCCAACCAAATTCAACTCCTGAGTCCTCAGTCTCCGGTCCCGGGAAGGTAAGTCAGATCTGACTCTGTCTCCCTGGGAGGGAAATGGCTCTGACTAGGTTTCTCCCTCAGACTCTGTCCACACTCTAGGATGCTGGAGGACAGCGTCCTGGTTTCTGTCAGTCTTCTCTGTTAAGTCTAGTCTCTCTCTATCTCTTCTCCTTCTCTCGTTCAGGTCTCTAGGAGACCTCGGTTTTAAACGGGTATAAAAAATTGTAATAAACTCTGTGAGTGAGTGAGTACATGTGGAGTTCAAGGGCTTGTGCTTGAATTTCTAGTTTGTAGCTCCATGGCGAAAGCTATGGAGTTTCAGAGGGCCCTCACCTGCGGTTCCGTGGCGACCTCATAAAGCTTAGGGCAGCATCGGGCATAGCTGGATCCGAGCCGGGGGTTTATACCGGCCTGCCAATGCCAGGAGGAGCCTAAGTCCCCGCAAGGGGAGCAGCCAGGCAGGCATCTGACTGATCCCATCACGGGACCCACTCCCCTTGTCTGTCTATAAAAATTGCCATACTTGTTTATATACCCCCGTGTCTATTGTCCTGTTTGGTGTCTGTCTAAATTTCGTAGGTCAGGTCATCGATACTGCCCAAGACGACTGGGCAAGGACTTCTTCAAGGTCCTCAGTACAGATCTTCTATCCCAGGAGGTCAAATCTCTCATTAGTCATTTGGGCTGGCCATCCCAGTCCTGTCTTTTCTGTCAGAAACAAATCAGGTGTTGTTATGGGAAAGGGTGTGGAAGACATTCGCCTGTTTGGAATTTCTGGCACCATAAAGATTGCTGGTGTTTGGATTGCCATACCCCACGCCCCAATGACTGGTCCACCTCCTCCTTAGACTAGTGGTGGATCCAATATAGCCACCCTGCTGATCTCCTTGCTCACCTTTTCTGTCATCCTGTAACTTTTCCCATGCCCTTAAATAAGGCACTGTGCAGAGAAACCTACGCCCATACTGCTTTACTCCGTCTGGACTCTTATTTTACCCCTCCGTGGCTACTCGCCAACCTTTGGGAAGATCCGAGTGGCCCCTTTCCTCCTCATCGGCATCCTTTACCCCGCACGTCTCGTTTCCCTGTGTCGCAGCAAGTCCAATGCCTCCAAGACTTGGCTCTGTTCTCCCTCCTTAAACCCTTCAAAGAAAGGGCCGAGTTCAAACTTTTTGCCTTTGAGTAGTGGAAACACCAAAGATATTTGGGCCATAAGTCAAGAAGAAGAAGGTGGGGGTCCCCTAGGTCCCACTGGCTGAGGATCCCACGGAGCCGCCTCTTGTCCTCTCCCTAGATCTCAAAGCTTGAGAAGACAGGCCTTATGTGGCAAGAAGCGTTGGCTATAGCTGTTTTCCTACTTCTTCTGGTTATAATACTTCTGTTCTTCTGATTCAGCAGCCCCCCAGGCCAGGAATATCTCTATCCATGCTGGGTTTAATATTTCTGCTTAAACCTTGTTAATTTGCCTCCAGAATGGGAAACTCTTCTTCCCGGCCCCGTAGAGATTGGCGCACTCTCCAATATATGTTGCAGAATTTCTCTCTAGGCTTCTCAGATGATTACGGAGTCCACCTTAAAAAGGGCAGACTCTGGACACTCTGTGAAGTAGAATGGCCAAAGTTTGGTAACGGGTGGCCCCCAGAAGGGTCACTGAATCTCACAATTGTTCAGGCTGTGTAGCGGGTCATTGCTGGAACTCCCAGACACCCCGATCAGTTTCCCTACATTGATCAATGGCTAGATTTGGTCTGGAGCCCTCCTCCACGGCTCTGCTCATGCACCATTCATGATCCCACCTCCAAGGTCCTTTTGAGCCGGACCAAACTTTTGCCCCAACCCTCCCCTCCCTCGGCTCCTCCTGTACTGCCTCCTTCTGAAGAAGAGGAAAATTTTCTTCACCCATGTCTGCCGCCCTATAACCCTCCTGCTCCCCCAGAATCTTCCCTTGTCTCCTCGACTACGTCCCCTGTGGCCTCTCTCCCTATAGCCACCCAATTACAGCCTTGGCTGGAGGAGGTGGCCCCCCTCCTCCCACTGAGAGAGTCCCAAATCCCCCCGGGCAGTGAGTGTTCTGCTCCATTTTTAGTTTATGTCCCCTTCTCTACTTCTGACCTGTACAACTGGAAGGTTCATAATCCCCCCTTCTCTGAAAAGCCCCAAGTCTTGACCTCACTGATAGAGTCCGTGCTCTGGACCCACCAGCTCACCTGGGATGACCGTCAGCAACTCCTTTTAAACCTTCACTTCTGAAGAGAGGGACCGTATCCAAAGAGAGGCCAGAAAGTATTTCCTTACATCAGCCAGTAGACCAGAGGAGGAAGCCCAAGACCTCCTTGAGGAGGTTTTTCCCTCTACCTGGCCTGATTGGGATCCAAACTCCTCAAGTGGGAAGAGAGCTTTGGATAATTTTCATTGGTATCTCCTTGCAGGTATCAAGGGAGCCACTCGAAAACCCATGAATCTGTCGAAGACAACTGAAGTGGTCCAGGGGCCCGATGAGTCACCAGGAGCGTTTCTAGAATGCCTCCAAGAGGCCTATTGGACTTATACCCCTTTTGACCTGGCAGCTCCCGAGAATAGCCGTGCTATTAATTTGGCATTTGTGGCTCAGGCAGCCCCTGATAGAAGAAAGTTACAAAAGCTGTAGGGATTTGCTGGAATGAACACCAGCCAACTTTTAGAGATAGCCCAGAAAGTTTTTGACAATTGAGAGGTTAAAAAGCAAAAACAGGCAGCTCAGGCAGCTGAAAGGGCTGCTGACAAAGCATCAAAAAGACAGGCAAAAATCTTCGTGGCTGCCATCCAAGAAGCCAAGACAGAAGGGCCCCCATCACAGAGCACTGGCCAAGGGATCCCGGGTCCCTGCCAGAAAGGCCAAAAGCTGAGCAGGCTCCCCTACAAAGAAACCAATGCACTTATTGCAAGCAGATTGGACACTGGAAAATGGAATGCCCATTAAAACCAGAAGAAAAACCAGAAGAGAAAAAGGTCCTCACCCTCCCTGCTGCGGAGGAATCTGATGATTGATGGGGCCGGGGCTCCCTCTCCCTTGGCCCCTGGGAGCCCATGGTGACTGCCACACTGGGGGGCCAGCCTATACGCTTCCTAATTGACACCGGGGCGGAACACTTGGTACTGCAGATACCCTTGGGCAGTGTCTCTAATAAAAAGGTGGCTGTGCAAGGGTCTATGGGAGCTATTCAGGAATATCCTGTCACCCACTCACGAGAGGTGAGTTTGGGACAGAAAAGAGTAACCCACTCATTTCTTGCAGTCCCAGAGTGCCCCTTCCCCCTCCTCAGACGAGACCTACTTCATAAGCTACAGACGTCCATCTCCTTCTCGGCCCAACAAGCTCACATCATGTTAGGGGACACAGCACCCCCTACTGCTCAGCTTCTGCTAACCACCCCTCTGTCAGAGGAATATCTCTTAGTTTCACCCTCACAACTGCTGGGAAATAGTACTAATCCTCTCCTACTGGATTTACAGACTCTGTTTCCCTGAGTCTGGGCCGAATCAAACCCCCCAGGAATGGCAAAGCACCATCTGCCAGTAGTTGTAGAGCTCCTGGCCACTGCTGCCAGTCCAGGTAAAACAATATCCTGTGAGTCAGCAGGCTAGAGAGGGAATCGATCCCCATATTCAGCGACTATTACAAGCTGGTATACTCCCACCATGTGAGTCCGCCTGGAATACTCCATTTTTGCCGGTCCAGAAACCCGGAACAAATGATTACCGGCCTGTACAGATTTGTAGGAAGTTAACAAGTGGACAGTTACCATCCATCCAACTGTGCCTAACCCTTATACTTTACTCAGCCTGCTCCCGCCCGAACATACAATGTATACTGTCCTTGACTTAAAGGATGCTTTCTTTGCTATTCCTCTGGCCCCCAAAATCCAACCTGTCTTTGCTTTTGAATGGACAGATCCTGGCTCGGGAGACACCACCCAATTAACCTGGACTCAATTACCCCAGGGTTTTAAAAACTCCCCTACCCTTTTTGGGGAAGCCCTCCAACAGGATCTTATACCATTCTGAGCCAGTAACCCTCACTGCACTCTTCTCCAGTATGTAGACCACCTGTTATTGGCTATTAAAACTACTGACAGCTGCCTGCAACATACTAGGGACCTACTTTACCTCCTTCAGGAACTCGGGTATCGGGTCTCGGCCAAGAATGGCCAGCTTTGTCTTCCCAGAGTTTCCTACCTGGGGTACGAGATAAACAAGGGAAAAAGGGCACTCACCAGTGCTTGAAAGAAGGCCATCCTGCGAATCTCCACTCCCACCACCAAAAGACAGGTACATGAATTCCCGGGGGCTGTGGGACAGTCACCTATGGATATTAGGGTTCGCGGAAATCACCAAGCCCCTTTATACCGCTACTGGAGTTAATGGCCCGCTAGTTTGGACTGACAAAGAAGAACAGGCTTTTCTAAACCTGAAAAAGGTATTAACGGAGGCCCCTGCTCTTGTCCTCCCAAATATCTCAAAACCATTTCACCTTTTTGTTCATGAAAGCCAGGGAGTCACTAAAGGGGTACTCACTTAGACTTTGGGACCATGGCAATGCCCAGTGGCCTACTTGTCTAAGAGACTAGACCCTGAGGCCTCCTGGTGGCCAAGTTGTCTGTGAGCTGTAGGGGCAACAGCAAGCCTGGTCCAGGAGGCTGATAAACTGACTCTGGGCCAGAATTTAACCCTCACGGCTCCTCATGCCATAGAGAATTTGCTACGAAGTGCCTCTGGCAAATGGATGTCGAATGCTCGCATCCTGCAGTATCAGAGCTTACTGTTAGATCAGCCTCATTTAACTTTCTCTCTCACAAGGTGTTTAAATCCAGCTACCTTGCTCCCTGATCCACACCTTACCACACCTGTCCATGACTGCCAAGAACTGTTAGAGACTACAGAAACTGGGCGACCTGATCTCCAAGATGTGCTTCTAAAGGAGGCAGATACCACTGTGTTTACAGACAGCAGCAGCTTCCTTAAACAGGGAGTACGAAAGGCTGGTGCGGCCGTTACTATAGATTCATATGTACTGTGGGCCCAGGCACTGCTGGCAGGTACTTTGGCACAAAGGGCTGAATTGGTTGCCCTCACTCAGGCCCTCTGATGGGGTAAGGACAAATGTATTAATATCTGCACTGACAGCAGATACGCTTTTGCTACTACACATGCACGTGGAGCCATCTATCAAGAGCGAGGGCTACTCACCTCCGCGGGTAAAACTATAAAAGACAAAGAAGAAATTTTGACCCTGCTTGAAGCTGTTTGGCTCCCTCAGCAGGTGGCTGTAATTCACTGCAAAGGACATCAAAGAGAAGACACGGCCGTTGCTCGAGGTAACCAAAGAGCAGATTCTGCAGCTTGAGAGGCAGCTCGGCTCCTGGTCGTGCCTTTCACCCTGCTGCCCGCTGTGTCCTTTCCGCAACCAGACTTGCCAGGCCACCCAGAATACTCCCCAGAGGAAGAAAAACAAACTTCGGATCTTCAGGCCAGTAAAAATCAGGAAGGTTGGTGGATTCTTCCTGATTTCAGAATCTTCATGCCCCAAGCTCTCGGGGAAGCTTTAATCAATCATCTACATTCTACCACCCATCTGGGAGGAGTAAAACTGGCCCAGCTTTTAAAGAGCCATTTCAAGATCCCCCACCTTCAGGACTTAACTAACCAAGCAGCTCTCCAGCATACGGCTAGTGCTCAGGTAAACGCCAAACAAGGTCCTAAACCCAGCCCACGTCACTGCCTCCGGGGAGGCTCGCCAGGAGAAAGGTGGGAAATTGACTTTACGAAGGTAAAACCACACCGGGCAGGATATAAATACATCCTGGTGCTACTAGACACCTTTTCTGGATAGACTGAGGCATTTGCCACCAAAAACAAAACTGCTACCATGGCAGTTAGGCTTTTATTCAATGAAATCATCCCTCGACATGGACTGCCTGTTGCCATAGGGTCTGATAATGGACCAGCCTTCACCTCGTCCATAGCTCAGTTGGTTAGCAAGGCATTAAACATTCAGTGGAAACTCCATTGTGCCTATTGACCCCAGAGCTCTAGACAAGTAGAATGCATGAACCACACCCTAAAAAGTACTCTTACCAAATTAATCTTAGAAACTGGTGAAAATTGGGTAAAGCTCCTTCCTTCAGCCCTTCTTAGAGTAAGATGCACCCCTTGCCAGGCTGGTTTTTCACCTTTTGAAATCATGTATGGAAGGGCTCCGCCTGTCTTGCCTAAGCTAAGGGATACCCATTCAGCAGAAATCTCACAAGCTAATTTGTTACAGTACCTGCAGTCTCTCCAACAGGTACAAGACATCATCCAGCCACTTGTCCGGGGAGCACACCCCAATCCAGTTCCTGACCAGACGGGACCCTGCCACTCTTTTCAGCAGGGTGACCTGGTGTATGTTAAAAGGTTCCAGAAGGAAGGACTCACTCCTGCCTAGAAAGGATCTCATACTGTCATCCTCACCACGCCGACGGCTCTGAAAGTAGATGGCATTCCTGCTTGGATTCATCACTCCTGCATCAAAAAGGCCAACAAAGGCCAGCAAGAAACATGGGTCCCCAAGCCCGGGCCAGGCCCCTTAAAACTGCGCCTAAGTCAAGTGAAGCCACCAAATTTATTCTTTTTATTTACCTCTTTTGTTTGTTTATGCCTGTTATGCCCCCTGCCCCTTCCTACTCTTTTCTCCTCACCTCTTTCATGACAGGACGTGTTTGCCAACACCACCTGGAAGGTGGGAACCTCCAAGGAAGTCTCTTTTGCAGTCGATTTATGTGCTTTGTTTCCAGTGCCTGCCCGTACCCTCAAAGAGCAATGCAATCTGCCGATCATAGGAGTAGGGAACGTCGACCTCGCTACAGGGCTTGGACACACCGGAAGCCAGACTGGATGTGGAAGTTCCAAGGGTGCAAAGAAAGGACTCCAGAGCATTAACTTTTACCTCTGTCCTGGAAATCACCCCGACTCTAGTTGTCGAGATTCTTACCAGTTTTTCTGTCCTTACTGGAGGTGTGTAAACTTGGCCACTTACTCTGGAGAATCAACGAGGTCCTCAACCCTATCCATAGCCCGCACTTCCTGTTCTAGACAGTGTACTATGGGAAACTGCAATCTTCTTACTATAACTGTCCATAACCCTAGTTTAACTCAGTGGTATTACGGCATGTCATGGGGATTAAGGCTTTATATCTCAGGATTTGATGTTGGAACTCTGCTCACCATCCAGCAGAAAATCCTGGTCCCATGGAGCCCTCCTAAGCCAATCGGACCATTAACTGATTTAGGTGACCCAATGTTCCAAAAACACCCAGACAGGGTCGATTCAACTGTCCCACCAGCATTCCTGGTTCATAGACCTCAGCTGCAACGACAACACCTCCAACCCAGTCTGATGTCCATTCTGGATGGGGTACATCACCTCTTTAATCTCACCCAGGCTAGACTAGCCCAAGATTGTTGGTTATGCCTAAAGGCCAAGCCCCCATATTATGTTGGATTGGGAGTAGAAGCCACACTTAAAATTAACTCTTTTTTTGTCATACATGCCCCCATGTCCTTACACTAGGAGACATGTCAGGGAACGCCTCCTGTCTAATTAGCGCCGGGTACAACTTACCTGCTTCTCCCTTTCAGGCTACCTGTAGTCAATCTCTACTTACTTTCTTAAATGCCTCAGTCTCCTACCAGGCACCCAACAATACTTGGTTGGCCTGCACTTCAGGCCTCACTCGCTGCATCAACGGGACTGAACCTGGACCTCTCCTATGCGTGTTGGTTCATGTACTGCCCCAGGTCTATGTCTACAGTGGGCCAGAAGGACAACCTCTCATTGCCCCCCGCTGAGTTGCAGTTAAGGTTTCGCCAAGCTGCCCCACTCCTTGTACCCCTTCTAGCCGGCCTTAGCACAGCTGGGTCAGCAGCCATCGGCATGAGTGCCCTGATTCAAGGAGAAACTGGATTAATATCCCTATCTCAACAAGTAGATGCTGATTTAAACAATCTCCAATCAGCCGTAAATATACTACATACCCAGGTAGAGTCTCTAACTGAAGTAGTTCTTCAAAACTGCCGAGGCTTAGACCTGCTATTTCTCTCCTAAGGAGGTTTATGCGCAGCACTAGAAGAAAGTTGTTGTTTCTATGCAAACCAGTCTGGAGTCATAAAAATACTCTTCAAAGAGTTAGAGAAAATCTAGATAGACGCCAGCAAGAACGAGAAAATAACACCCCCGGTACCAAAATATGTTCAACCGGAATCCATGGCTAACTACTCTAATTACTGGGTTGGCGGGACCTCTCCTCCTCCTCTTGTTAGGTTTAGTCTTCAGGCCTTGCATGTTAAATTGGTTTCTTAACTTTATAAAGCAACACATAGCTTATGTCAAACTTATGTATCTTAAAACCCAATATAACCCCCTCGTTATAACTGAGGAATCAATCATTTGATTCCCCAAAAACATGAGTGGGAAATGTGATACCCTACCTTGTTTTAACCTGATTGACTCTCACTTAGCTGAGAGAGCCAGACTCCATTTTGGTTTCTTCATTTGCAGCCCCTTATCCCCTTCCCTTAAGGACATAACTGGTGCAAGCTGACTCCAAGCACATTCAGGAACGCACTTACTGTTAAGATACTGGGGCAAGCTGTACCAGCAGCCCCTGGGAACGCACTCGGTTGATGGTACCCAAAGCCCCTGCATTTATCTCTTTGTGATACTTTAAGCCCTTGCACCTGGAACTGTTTATTTTTCTGTAACTGTTTCTGTAACCATTTATCTTTTAACTTTTTGCTTGTTCTGCTTCTGTAAAATTGCTTCAGCTAGGCTCCGCCTCCACTTTTTAGACCAAGGTATAAAAAAAAACATCTAGCCCCTTCTTCGGGGCTGAGAGAATTTTTTAGTTCTAGCTGTCTCTCGGTCGCCGGCAATAAAGGACTCCTGAATTAGTCTCAGAGTGTGGCGTTTCTCTGTAACTCACTCGGTTCCAACAATCTGTGATTACAGGGCCCTTATATGTTGAAGAGGGAAGCAGGAGCGAGAGCGTCAGAGACAGAAAAGCAGATGTGATAAGGGAAGCAAAGTTTGGAGTGAATTGGGCCAATGTTTTTAAGCCTTAGAGATTGAATGCTTTTGAATATAGATGATGGACCCCAAGCTAAGGGGTAAAGGCAGTCTCTTTCAGAAGCTGGAAAGAGCAAAAAGCAAAAAAAAAAAAAAAAAGAAATTCCCTAGAATTTTCAGAAGGAAGATATCACTGACAACAGCTTAATTTTAGCCAAGTGAGACTCATTTCAGTTTAATGATTTCTTGATGTTTGAAATGCTTGTTCCCTGGTGCCATAAAGAAATTGCACTTGAACATAAATTTATTTAGTAAGGCCATTTTTACTTCCTGCGGAAAGGGTACACTCGCAAGCAGTTTTGCCACAAAGGTACACCGAACAAAGGAGACAGGGTCATTTATAACCTGATGCGTCCACCCTACTGCTGTGTCTGGTTTCCATTGGCTGGAACGGGACCTCACATTCTGTATTTGTCCCGATTGGCTAGCCACTTAGAACTTTTTAAAAGAGGCAAAGGTAGAGGGAACAAAGGAAGGAGGAAGTAACTTGTAGAATGCTGAAGAAAGTAAAAACACTTTTAAATAAGGAAGAGGAACAAGCTATGACCTAATGCTTGCTTGGACCAGTTTAAACATGCAAGGGTAAATATTTAGGCTAAATTGTGGGAGCTAAGAACATAAAGTACATTGATTTTTTTATTACGGCTAGCAAATATTTAAGAATGTTAGCACAGGTCTTTGAATAAATTTTGCTTCTAAGAGAAGTTACTATTTATTCCTAATTAGATGGGGAGGAAAGTCTTTGAAGAGGAACCTCTACTTTACTTTTTACATTGAGTTATAAGATAATTAACTTGTCTTGTTATGAACTATTAAGTCTACAGTGATTTGTTTCAGCAGTCACAGGAAACTAAAACTTAAGTGCAAACCTGAAATTCATAATTATTGTGTGATATATTAATACTCTTTCATTGGTAACCAATAGAGCTAACCAACAAGTATACGTGGAATAATTTTTAAAACCAGCATATTCTAGGCAAGTCTCAAAAAGTTTTAATAGACTGATATCCTATGCTTTAAACTTGCTGATCACAGGGCAGATATGCTAGATATCCATAGATATTTGGAAACTTAACAACTACCAAAAAAACTAATAGGTCAAAAAAGAAATTAAATTAAAATTATGAACATTTTTAAACAAAATATTACATATAAAATGATTTAGAAAGTAGAAAAAGTTTTGTTTAGAAGGGAACTTAATAGCTTTAAATATATATGTTAGAAAATAAGATAAGCTGAATACCAATTATTTAAATATTTCAAAAAGTTAGAAAACAGTGTATTAAGTCTAAAAGTATTAGAAGAAATTAAAGAACATGAATTAAGGAAATATAAAATGAACATGGCGATTGTGTGGTTTCACTTGTTCAGAAACCAAATGCAATAAGAATGTGATAAAAAGTAACTGGGAAATTTCCTACTTATACCTCTCTATTTCTATTTCTATCAATCACGACGAGAATATTTGCTATTTTACTGCATAGAAGATAGATTTTTTTTCAGCTAACGTATTTCTGTTCTAACAAGTCAATTGTAAAAAATCCTTTTTTCTTTAAATTATGAGTCTGCATTAGGTAGAAGACAAGATATATGTGTTGGTATTGGGGAACTCCTGGGTTCAAAATGTTTCTGCTACATGATGGTGGTATGACCTTAGTCAAGTTATTTATTATCCTTAAGTATCATTTTTTCTTCACCTATACAATGAGGAGGATACTTAAAACTAACTCTTGGGTGTTTTATGAGGAATAAATGGAAAGCTGCATAGTGCCTGGAACATAATAAGTACTTAGCACATGATAACTATTATTTTTGTGACAGGACTGTTTTCTTTTGAACTTAAAAGTCCTGCAGCACAGAACAATGCAGCTAAAGGATGTTGTGTGGCCTTATTTATCTAAGCCACAAATCACAATATATTCCTTCAAATTTTTTTAAAAACCTTTTTATAAAATGTAATTTTATTAGAACTAGCTAAGATGTATTCTCATATTTTTGTGGAGAAGAATCAAGGAGAACTAAGCACTACATATTTTTTCTTTTTATGCAGAGTACAAAAATGCCGATTATCTCTCATATTAACATTAAATGTTTTCATGCAACAAAGAAGTACTTAAATCTCATCTATTTGTTTTCCTTCTTTCTTCACATATTTTGAAAGTTCTACCAAAGTAACAGATAAAATTTGAGTCCACAAATTAACACTTCACAGTCTCATCATTGGAAGAAACCAGAAATATACTTCCAGTGCTTTGGTGTCATCAAGAATATACTGAAGAGGAAATAGAACTCAGATATGGGAAGAAAGTACTTATGTGATCCAGCAGCGGTTATGCCTGGTGTAGAGACAAAATATATGTGCTGCTTTCCAATGAGCCAGTTTAAATTCACCGCTCATGATGGAGGTAAATGGGCTCTGAAAAATATTTTCTTATACTCTGTCTCCTTATATAGTTTGTTGCTACTTTCTTTTCTGACTGTACACTTTCCAAGTGCAAATTCAGGAGTGGGAGTTTCAAACATTCTATAAATATGATGTATAATCGTCAGACTTTAGGAGACGTTACTTAGGTTCCTTAGGTGAATGGGAAAATACGGTTTATCTCAAACCAAACAGCCAATGTATCAAGAGATAAACTAATCTCTTTAGAAACTAATCGGTTCAGCAACTAGGCCATTGGGTAAAATAACATGTTTGAGGAAACTGACATTTCTTTTAGATAAAAAGAATTTTTCCATAACATGCAATATTCTATCATGCTTAATGGTTATATAGGAAACAGGAATTTATTATTTCTATTTTTTAGATGATGAGTCCCAGAGATATGACGTCTTACATAAATGTTTATACTTTAGACTCTAGAATATAATGTATTTTTCTCAGTTTCGAGCCCTCTAACATTCACTAGCGAACCGTGCAATCTCCAAAGTCCAAGATTTTCATTTTCAAGGTATGGCCTAATGAATTTTAAGGAGAAATAAAACAGAAGTCACATATACATTAGTTGGATTTTGTTGAGTTCCAACACAATTGACTTTTGCTATGAAAATTAGATCATGATTAGGACCATTTTCTACAGCAACAAGGTTTGGTATTTGGATATAAACTCTTCTTCTTGTTTACACAATGGTCCTGGATTTTTTCTAGGAAGAAAGTTCGTAGAAATGGCACTTTTTAAAACACACACTGAAAAACGCAAAATTCGCAGTTGCTGTACACAGCTAGGCCTGTACTCAGGTCTGAGATGTGACCCTTGTTCCTCTATTCAGAAAGAATTATAAACAAGAAAGTGACTAACTCACAGCAAAAAAAAAAAAAAATTTTTTTTTTTTTTGAGATGGAGTCTTGCCGTGTAACCCAGGCTGGAGTGCAGTGGTGCAATTTCGGTTCACTACAACCTCCGCCTGCTGGTTCAAGCAATTCTCCTGCCTCAGCCTCCCGAGTAGCTGGGATTACAGGCACCTGCCACCACGTCCAGCCAAGCCCATTTTTTGTATTTTTAGTAGAGACGGGGTTTCACCATGTTGGCCGTGCTTGTCTCAAACTCCTGACCTCAGGTGATCCAACCACCTCGGCCTCCCAAAATGCTACAGGTGTAGCATTACAGGTGTGAGCCACCGTGCCTGGCCCAAAATTTTAAATATAATTTTGACTGATGATTTCACCTGTGAGTTACTCTTAACTTTTCCCACCCAGTATGTTACTCCCAAAGAACCCAATGTCTTCAAACTGACTCTTGCTGTTAGATTTCTCATTGACAGTCCCCTAAACTTGACCTATCTCAAAATATCATATGCTACAAAGTTACATCTTTTCTTAAAGCTACTCATTCCACAAACAAATCTAAATTAGATGAGAAAGAAAAACAGATTAAATGAAGTTACTCTTACTAATGATTTCTTATAAAACAACTCCTGTTTGTCTAAATTTCTTAATCTTTCCAAATACATATTTTTAAAATTGTAATGATTCTTAGATTATATCAAGCACAATAATAAAATATTTAAAAATAAATTCTATTTTTAAATCAGGGAGTCATGGCTCTTGCATAGGACTGGGAGATGCTCAAGTCACAAAATACAAGGTCAATAAAAATTGTCTTTTGACACACTGGCAACACAACTGTAAAATAAAAATTAAAACAATAGGTATACAGTAACAACAAAAACCTTAGTTAAAACTAAATTGGCTGAAATCTTTATAAGACCTTGATATTGGAAAAACTACAAAATATTGTTAGAAGAAAATCAAGAAGACTTTAATACGTGGAGAGATAAACCGCAATCATATTAGAGGACGCTTTTATAAGATGTAAATTTTCATCAAGTTTATCTATGAATTCGACATAATGCTGATCAAAAACTCAGACTTGTTTTTAAATTGACCAGCCAATTGGAAATGTAGTTGGAAATATCATGTATATGGAAATGTATATGAAAATTCAATGGATATAAAAGATCCTAAAGATACTGAAAACCAAATTGAAGCAAAACACTGTAGACTGACTTAGATTGACTTAGATTTCTTAATTAATCATGACAGTGTATTGTGAGCATAAATATACACAACTAGTTCAATTGAGCAGAATAGACTGTCCTGAAATTAACCCACAGTTACAACGGTGAATTGATTTTTGCCCAAGGTGCCAAAAAAATTTAATGGAGAAAGGATAGTCTCCTCAACAAATGGTGTGAAACAACTAGCCACTCTTAAGGAAAAAAAAAAAGGAAACTTAGATCATATTTATCAAACACAAAAATTAATCTCAATGAACCATAGAAATGGAGACTATCTTTGCAAACTGGTAGAACTGGTATGAAAAGACTTTGAACAGGAAAAAGAAAGCACCAATCTTGCATGAATAACAATAGACTTGTCTTCATCAAAATTACAATTTTGATTCATCAAAGAGCCCCCAGTTGAAACGGGGAAGGTTCCCTTTTCCCCCTTCGCAGGGCGTGCGATGGGGGTGTGTTTCGCTTCTTCAGTCCCCCTAGTTGCTGTTGGGCTCAGCCTTTGCCTGCTGCGGACACACCTAGGCGTCCAGACTGGGAGGGGAAAGGGTAACAGGAGGTGCCCTGAGCCGTGCATGCCTGCGGCTGTTGGGGTAGAGAAATAAATGGCATCTCTAGGAACAGCTGGTCTGATTTGCGCATTTGGCAGCTGAGCCTAATGCTCATTTTACTTAGTAACATTGCCATAGCCTGTAGCAAAACATTCTTAAGAGAAGAGCTATTTTAAACCCTGTGAGAGAGAAATCTGTGGGTTTCGACTTGCCTGGTTAGGGCAGTTTTTTTGTTGTTGTTTTTTGTTTTGAGACGGTCTCATTCTGTCGCCAGGCTGGTGTGCAGTGGTGTGATCTCGGCTCACTGCAACCTCTGCCTGCTGGGTTCAAGCGATTCTCCTGCCTCAGCCTCCCGAGTAGCGGAATTACAGGCGCCCGCCACCACGCCCAGCTAATTTTTGTATTTTTAGTAGAGACGGGGTTTTGCCATGTTGGCCAGCATGGTCTCCATCTCCTGACCTTGTGATCTGCCCACCTAGGCCTCCCAAAGTGCTGAGATTACAGGTGTGAGCCACCGCGCCCGGCCAGGGCAGTTTTTCAAACTCCGTGAAGGAAGACAGAGCCTCTCACCCGCAGGAAAGACAGATGAGGGTTTTGGGAGAGGGTCCGACCTGACAGTTTCGCATTGGTTCACACTTACCTTCCAAGATCCCAGGAGAGGTCCCCAGTTGAAATGGGAAAGGTTCCCTTGTACCCCTCGCTGGGCGTGCGATGGGGATGTGGCTCACTTCTTCAGTGCCCTGCTGCTCAGACCTCTAGGGGAGCATACAGAAGGGCAGGCTGTGGGGCTCCGACCCCAAGGCAGTGTCGAGGGTAAATGTTTACAGCTGAAGCCCTAGTGGGTGTTACAAGGTGCTCTTTTAGTTTACCGTCTATAAGTGTCTTGTGTTAACCAGCTCAATTAGACCCTCTACCTTGTTGTAAGGACAGAGGGCTTTCTGTATCCCGGGTTCTTGCCTTGGTGTACCGGAAGAATAGGAACACAAGTGGGCTTGCAGAATGAATGTAAAGTTTTACTGAGTGGAAGTAGCTCTCAGCCGATGGGGGAGCCGGAAGGGAGATGGTCTTCCCCTGGACTTGGGTCGCCTGGCGGCCCCAGCTCTCCTCGGACTGCTGCAGCCACACTCCGCGTCTTCCCTTCAGTCAGTCAGTCAATGGCTTGCAAGCCTGCTGGCCTCCTATGGCGTGCTCCCTCGACTTCCTCTCAATGTTCAGCCGCTTGTCTTCTTTGGCTGATGTGTTCCTCTCACTGTTCAGTAGCTTCTGTCTCTGCCTTGCTGGGTCTCAAGTTTTTACAGGCCCAGGATGGGGTCGTGGTGGGCCATGGTGGTCTTGGAACACGCAACATTTGGGGCGAAGCAGAAGTGCCTGTCATTATCTAAGTCCCTGGGGGTAGAGCCCTAGCCAGGGACCACACCCTCCTCTACCCAGCACTTCCCTGTTGCCTCTTCCTTATCATTTAAAGGGACCACGTTCTTCCCTTCCCAGCACTCCCCTATCAAAAAGACAATGTTAAGACAATGAATAGGCAAGTCAAGTCACTGATTGTGGGAGAATATTGTCATTACATGTATCTGACAAAGGCCTTGAATCCAGAATATATGTAAATATCTCCTACAATTCATTATAAATTAGACAAACAATAAAAATTTTAAGTTAACCTAATATCTTGAATTGGCCTCTCAGAAAACAAGATATAAAAGTGGCCTACATGCACAAGAAAACGTAGTTAACATCAGTAGCCATCAGAAAACTGCTAATACCACAATATTTACCAGAAGGTCTAATATAAAAACAAATGACAGGCCAGGCATGGTGGCTCACGCCCATAATCCCAGCACTTTGGGAGGCCAAGGTGGGTGGATCATTTGAGGTCAGGAGTTCGAGACCAGCCTGGCCAAAATGGTGAAACCCCGTCTCTACTAAAAATACAAAAATTAGCCAGGTGTGGTAGCAGGCGCCTGTAGTTCCAGCTACTCGGGAGGCTGAGGCAGGAGAATCACCTGAACCCAGGAGGCAGAGGTTGCCGTGAGCTGAGATCACGCCACTGCACTCCAGCCTGGGCGACAGAGCAAGACCCTGTCTCAGAAAAAAAAAAAAAAGACAACACCCCATCTTGGCAAGTGTGTGGAGCAATTGTAATTTTTGTACAGTGTTTGTGGAAGTATAAACCAATAAAGCCAGTTTGAAAGTCAGTTTAGTCATTTCTCATGAAGGTAAGTATACAACTACCCCATGATCTGTCAATGCCTCTCCTAGTTATTTATTTACATGAAATAAAAACACATGTAAATAAAGAGAATCGTACAAATATATTTGTAGCAGATTTATTTGTATTAACCCCAAACTGGAAAGCAACCAAAATGTCCATCAACAAGAAAACAGACAAAATTTTGTGTAGGCTTAAAACAAACAAATAAAACCTTTATAATAATGAGAAACTGATCCACCAAAAATATATGGATCAACTACAAAAATATTATGCAAAATTTAAGAAGCCAGACACAAAAGAATGAATATTGTATGATTCCACCTATATGCGTTCTTACACAGGCAAAATTAATATGTGATCAAGTAAATTAGAGCAGTGATTCCTGAGGATGGTGGTTATGGATTGCCTGAGATCAGCACGACAGATTTTTCTAAGGTGATGGAAGTATTTTAGATCTTGAAAGGCTGCAGACATATTAATGTATGCCTCTATCAAAATGCATGGACTGTACTTCTAAAAACTGCACATTTCAATGTAAGCAAATTATTTCTTAATTAAAAAATGTAAATAATTACATTTGCTCAGGATCTAACTATATTAGGTATCATCACAAAGACTGATGAATGGTAGAATACATTAATTTCATTGAAAAATAGTTGCAGGTGATAGATACCCCACTTTCCATGATGTGATTATTAAACATTGCATGCGTGAATCAAAACATCTCATCTACTTCATAAATATATACACCTACTATGTACCCATAAAAATTAAAATTAAAAATTATTTTTACAAAAGTTGTAACATACTAGAAACTCCCCCATGGAGTGGGGTGGATCAGTTTCTTTTTATTATAAAGGTTTTGTTTGTTTGTTTTAAGCCTACACCAAATTTTATCTGTTTTCTTGTTGATGGACATTTTGGTGCTTTCCAGTTTGGGGTTAATACAAATACATCTGCTACAAATATATTTCTACAATTCTCTTTGTTGAATTAAAAACCTGAATAGATCTTTCACTCCTCTTTCTTAATTCACATCCAATTTTCAGCAAATACTGTTGTTTATTTTTTTAAAATATATTCTGAATCTCTCTACATCTCTCCCTATATATGATATACCCCTGTTCCAAGCCATCATATTATGTTGCCCTGGCTTGTTTTAATATCTTTCCAAATCATCTTTCTACTTCTCCTCCCTGCTCTTTTATTCTGCATAAAGCCATCACAGTGATTATTTTAAAACATAAGTCAGATTATGTCACTATTCTACCCAAATCCTCAAAGATAACCCCCGCTCAGTCAAAGAAAAGGACAAAGTTCATACAATGTCACACAAGTCTGTGCATGATTCTAACGTCCCATTATTCCTCTAACTCCTACTTTTTCTCCTGTGCTCACTTCTTTCCAGCTCTGCTAGCCTCCTTGCTGTTTATGAAATTTTTCAGGCACATTCTGCCTCATGGTCTTTGGTTTGTGCCCCCTTTACTTGGAACTCTCATCTTGCAGATGTCAGAGCTCATTCTCTCTTCTCCTTCAGGTGTTTGCTCAAATATCACCTTCTTAGGGACCAACCTCTGTTTTAACACTTAAAAATTTTTTTTGTTACAGGTTCTTCCTCTATTGCTCAGGCTTCAGTGCAGTGGCAGGAACAAGGACATCTCAGGCTCAAGTCATCCACCTGCCTCAGCCTCCCAAGTAGCTGGGACTCTAGCCCCACACCACCATGCCCAGCTAATTAAAAAAATACATTTTATTTTATTTTTATTGTTCCATCCCTCATAGAACATTTTTAAAAATATATTAAGGGTCTGGCAGTGTTGCCCAGGCTGGTATTGAACTCCTGGGCTCAAGTGATCCTCCCTCCTCAGCCTCCCAAAGTGCTGAGATTACAGGTGTAAGCCACCACGCCCAGCCCAACCTCTTTAAGATCTTCTCTTTTTTTTTGGTAGAGACAAGGCCTTGCTGTGTTGCCCAGTCTGGTATTGCACTCCTGGTTCAAGCAATTCTCCCGTCTTGGCCTCCCAATGTGATGGGATTACAGCTGTGAGCCACTGTGCTCAACCCTCTTTCAAATCTTTACATCCACTCCTCACCAGGCTATCCCTTTCCCCCTTTCCTGCTTTTCCCTCATAGCACTTATGACAATTAGACTATTATTATTATTTCTTTATTTTGTTTCTTGTCTGCCTTTCCTCTGTATAACGTCAGCTCGATGAAGACAGTGATCTTTGTCTATTTTACTCACTACAGTGGATAATTCCAGAGCCCAAAACTCAATAGTAAGTGGTTGAATAAGTGAACAAATGAGCAAGTCAGTACATTATCTGGAAACAAGCACATCTTTCCTTGGATACCATGATCCTCTTAGAACACCAGATGATTAAAATCTATTGTTAGAGGACAAGAAAATCCAGCCTCCTGTGTTTCCATGGAACAACTCCCTGTTTTGTCCAGTTGCTTGTTCCTTCCACAGGGCCAAGAAATACTGTCCCTTTCTCCAGCCCATATTCCTCCGCTGCAGGACCAGATCTAGCTTCCTTATTATGAGATGATTTTCGATATTAATTTTACGATTACTGGTTGGTCATAGTTTTGAAGATTCTACTTCAAGTTATTCCAGTTCTGGAAAAGAATTCTCTAGCCTCAGCCCACTCTGAGGACCCCTTGAGAGGAGTTAGCCATTTTACCCTCTAGAAGCTAGGGTAAGATGAAATTATATGTGCTACTGACTGAAGTGTGGATTATTATTTTATTATTTTAATTCTAACCTTTCTCCTTGTGTATGTCTACTTGCTATGCAGCATATTAATGACTATTCGGGTCTTTATTTATTCATGGGTCAGTTGTAGGACATATCAGTAATCATCAGCTTCCATTTTCTTTAAATCAAAGAGAGGCTCTGACTCCAAGGAGTGGAAAGGGACAGCAAGTGTGTCCCTAGATTTCAATAAAAGTGGACATTAAGGACTAATGTAAATTTTTATGATTCCTGTGGGCAATAGAGAAAAAATGGAAAAGAAATTAAAAGCCCCTCAGAGCAACATTGGGGAACAAGGTACTCCAAGGGCAGGGCAGAAACGTTGTTAATGTAGGAAATATTATTTCTAAATATGAACTAAAGGCACACTGTCTCTTCAAATATTAATGCTTGTCCTTGGAAAAGAGGTATGTATTAAATAGGTCACCATTTATTGTGTAATAGTAGAGGGTCAGCAGGCCTGCAGCTCCCACTGAAAGTAATATTGAAAAGGAAATTTAAATGGAAAGAAAAGTGTTTCTCTGACCCGAAGGAGGCATACGAGCCTATCTACAGCACATCCCCTGCACTTACCCTCCTCCCAGATACTTGTGAAACATTAGTGCTGGGTGCAGCTTGAGATGGTGTCATCCAGGGTGGAGGTGGGCACAGGGGTAAGGTGGAGGAAGCCAGAGCAAGTTTGCTCATTGTGGAAAAAGATTTGAGTTTTGCATGTCAACCTGAAGTCAAGAAATTCAGATAAAGAGTGAAGGGAGATGTCCACTGGGGACTCTCTTTCTGAGTCCAAGAAAAGACCAAGTTTGCTGGAATTTTAACCTTTAACTTCTTACAATGTAATTTCCTTCATTGTCCTGAGCCTTCAGAAAAAAAAAAAAAAAAAGGTTTTATTGAAAATGGAATTGGCCGGGCACCGTGGCTCACGTGTGTAATCCCAGCACTTTGGGAGACCAAGGCAGGCAGATCACTTGAGTTCAGAAGTTTGAGATCTACCTAGGCAATATAATGAGACCTCATCACTACTAAAATAATAATAATAATAATAATAATAAAACTTAGTCAGATATGGTGGTGCCTGCCTGTAGTCCCAGCTTCTCAGGGGACTGAGGTGGGAGGATTGCTTGAGCCCCGGAGGTTGAGACTGCAGTGAGTCCTGACTGTGCCACTGCACTGCAGCCTGGGCGACAGAGCAAGATCCTGTGCCGCCCACCCCCAACCCCACCCCCAGCCACAAAAAAGTGGAACTTTTGGCTAACTACTAAATAGTTGAGTGTTGAAATCACAATTTATTCCTAACCAAGATGGAACTTAAATAATATCATAAAGATTTAAGATATACAAATGAAGTTAAAACACTTCATAAGGCTGTGATATAACTATTATTTTAAAATAATAGTATCAAGTTCCTTTTTGTTATTATTCTGACATTACAGAAAACTACTTCTCAGTATTATCACTTGTTAATTCCTTCTGAAGATACTGCATTAAATATTTGTAGTACTAAATGTATGCTCACTTTTAATTGTGATTAGTGGAGGGGTAAGATATGTTTTGGTCCAGATAAACCTGAATAGATTACAGTCAAGGATCTTGTCGCCACAAATTCTTGCTTTCTTTTATCTTTAATAATAACTATTTAAAGACAGCTCTTCTTTAACTCCTAGACTAACAGATTTCACCTATGGTGATGTTGTAATTTCACTGAAGCAATCTTAGAAACTGAAGCTTTGTGCACAGCTTAAGGAAGATGCTTTCTGAGTATTTGCAGAAGCAGACTTACTGCCCTCACTCTAACTTTTATTTCTAATTTTTCATTTACATTTAGGCTATATAACACAATCACTTGAGGAAACGCCCTTAAATCTCCAGTCTATAAAAGTTGCGTTGAATGTGTATGATTGACTTTTCTGATAATAAAATTGCCTCCAAATTCCCAATTGCATCTCAGTTTTATTGCACATGTACCAACTTGAGCAATTATTTCCAGGAACAGGACACAGTCATCATGTAAGAAACATCTGAATGCAGGAGATATCAGTTTGGTTGTGTGATTAATTTTTAGTGAATGATTTCTTCTTTCTAAAGCAATCATTGATTGTTAGTAAGTCCACTTTGGTATTAGTATGCCATTCGTTACATATTTACTTCAGTATTTGTATCAGCAAAGTATAATATTACAACTTTTTTCAGGAAATGTTTTTAAACATGCAGTCATTGTTCTTTCAGATAATTTAAATATATAATTGCATGAAAAAAATTCCACTCTTTTTTTGCTTATTATGCAGATTTCCAAACCTGAAGAAAAATGATGAAAGAGGCCCATTTTTATTTTGCTAACTGAGTAACTTTGTGACATAGCCTGTGAATTTTGAATTCTGCATACAAAATGTACTTTTTGGAATAAAACATTGTATGCTTCCAAAACTGTTGATAGCACTTCCATGTTTGTTCTGTTCTTAATGATATTTGGATAACATTAAAGTAGATATTGCTCATTCAGCTAACAAAGACCAAAAGCTAAATGATGACAAGTAACCAATTTTGGCCTTATATCATGGCTGAAGCCAAAATTTGATGCATCTCTACTGGAAACTTATGCAGACTTGGATGTTAGCCTTGTAGGGACTAAAGACTAAAGAAGCAAAAAAAAAAAAAAAAAGAAGCATACTCCACCCCATCTTTTTGACTACAGTAGAGAGTAGACATGTGCATAGTAAGTAAATAAATGATCAGAGTTTCAGGTGATCATCATTGTTACCAGAGAATGACCCATGACAAGCTAAAAGCAACACTGAACCAGAGGGGTGTTCCAGGCAGAATGTGTATAAACTTGAATGCATAAAACTTTCTGTTAGACTCAGTTTAGAGAAAGTGCTTCCTTTAAAGGGGAAAGAAAAAGGACAGCAAGTCATTGTATTAAAGATCAGATTATTTTGGTTATATTTTAACCGAATTCCTAATTGTTGAATATATTGCATATGGACAAAAACTCATGAATTGATATAAAAAAAGACAATTTGATGCTGATATTAAGCCTTTATGTTTATCTTCTTTATTTTGGTTTGGAAAGGAAAAAATAATGCTATTTAATAGAAATCTGAAATTCTCTTGAAAAAGGAATCAAGTTTTCTGATAGTAAAACATTGCTGCCTTGTATAACGTGGCTGGAGTACTGAATAAGCAAATCTTCAACATCAGGACACATACATAAACAGAATGAAAACGTTTAAGCAACTACATCATATAGATAATAAATAAAGACTCATTTTCAAATGTTTCACTCATTTTAGATATTCACTTTATGTTTTTATGCTTTCATGGGTTTTGTGATAAGACTTTTTATGTGAATTTGTTACAACATGCAACTATTCTAATAATAGCACCGTTTTTATATTACTTAGAGAGAACCACAAGTCACAACTAGTGGTTTTTTTCAAGTTAACATAAAATATTAAGTTGTTAAGTCAGACTCATGCAGAGTAGAGATTCTATCCAGTATCAAGTTTTATTAGTAATTTAAGAATATAAGAAAGAATGGCACAAAAATAGCAAGGAGATGTCTATTACATCTTGCATGGCTCCCAGCTTCTCCTTCCTTCATCAGGCATGTGCTTTCTAGACAGAATAAAAGTTAAGATCTCAAAGTTAGGGTTGTGGATTGTCTCACCATGCAGGGAGAGGTTTAAGTTATGAAACAGCTCCATTTTATATCCGTAACACTTGTACAGCTTATGTGATATTCACCAGGGAGCTATGCTTCATGAACCTATACATCTACATCGCAGGTTAGTTTACCAAAAGTAGATACAAAAAAGAGGCAACTCATTCAAAGTATTTTATAGATTTAAAACACTCCTCTTAGGAAATACCATTAGTCTGTTTACCTAGAGGTCTAGTTATATATACAAGAAAAGTAGACCAGTTATCTGTCTTTTTTTATTTTCTCTTGTAACATTTTCTTGTCACAGACTGAAAGTTTATGTCCTCTAAAACTCATATGTTAAAGCTATAACCCCCAAGGTGACAGTATTTGGAGATGGAGCAATTAGATCTTGAGGGTGGGGTACTGTTCTGATGGGATTAGTGCTCTTATAAGGAGGCACCAGGGTGTGTCATATGCTGTCACTCTTTTACCCTTTTTTCTCCATTCCCACCTCCCACACCCAATATGCCATATGGTGGCATAGGGAGAAGGACAAAGCAAGAATACTGTCTACAAGACAGGAAGAGAGCCCTTACCAGAACCCAACCATACAGGCACCCTGATCTCAGACTTCCAGCCTGAAGAATTCTGAGAAAATGCATTTCTATTTCAGCACCCAGTCAGCCTATGGTATTTTGTTATGACAGCCTGAACTGACCAAAAAATTATCATATTAATCATGGGAGAAACAGAGGATCACAGCCAGCTCTTTTAACACCTTCCTTCCCACATTCTTTCATCCAAGTTTTCTGCTTTGGGATTTGAAAAGCCTATCTGAAGCTTTTAGATAAAGAAATTAGTAATTCTAGCAGTACCATAGCTGAAGTAGAATAAACTTGAATTTAATTCCCCTGTGATCATTTCAAAATCCTCAAATTTTGTTTTTACATAAAATTTGAGTTACTTTTACTTATTTATAGGATAAATGCATGTTCATTGGTAAAATCAGAAAATATAACTAGCTAAGAAACTTCAGCAATGACTGCTACTAACATATTCATGTATATTATTCCAACATTTCCTATATATAGATACTAGATTTATTTACAAAAATTGGATTTGTTGTTTCATAACAGTATTTTAAATTAACAGTTTACTGTGAACTCATTTCCAATCTATTAAACATAATTTTAAGAAAATATTAATAGCTACACTGTATATTATATGTTTATACTGTATCATGATTATATTAAAGTATATATTTATGATATGATCATAGATGAATCAAAAGTATACAATACTTCATCAGATAACGCATATTGAATACACTGGCCATTTATCTTTTGATTAAAAAAAAGTCTTATAGTCACCTTCAGTGGTAGAGATTTCTTTTTTGTGTTTTGTTTTTTGGGGTTTTTTTTGGTAAAGAAAGTTTTCCTTGTTGCCCAGGCTGGTCTCAAACTCCTAGGCTCAACAGATCCATCTCCTTCGGCCTCTCAAAGTGCTAGGATTACAGGTGTGAGCCACTGTGCCTGGCAGAGACTTCTATATGTTCACTAAAATCTATTCTCTTTTTCTTCCTGGACATATAGCAAAAAATATATGCTTTGATTTAAAATGTGTTCATTTAACTAAGTTCTCATTAAAAAAAAAAAAACAACTAAAACAGTGAGAAGAAATGATGTCTGTTACCTTCATTACACACGTGCTCCTGTATAATCATTCTTCTTCTCTACCAGCTGGAAACCAGATGTTGTAGTAACCCAGTTTTGACCACACAGATGAATACGATGCCCTAAATACGATGGTAACTTACAAGAAACATAGGTTCTTGAATGGCTGAGTGGAGCAGAGCTGCCCCATGGACCTATGCCATTGACTTTCAGCAATTGTATTATTGGGTCAGTATTGCCTTGCCCTAACTAATACATCTTCTTGTTAGTGAAATGAGGATTATCTGTAGCAAAATTGTAACTCCCACACAGCTTCGGTTCTGTAATGCAAATTTGAACTTCTTTCTGTTATCATTAAATTCATGCTTCACGAACAAATCTATTTTATTTTTCATTTCTGCATCTCTAGGAATCATGTAGGCATATGAGCATTCCTCATTTTCCATAGGGTCAGGAGAGCTCTCAAATTTTTCCTGCTTCTGAGGTTACTGAAGCACGACAAAACAAGACAATACCCACTCGCTTCCCAATAGGAGTGTCCCTCATCCTGGCCAGCTAATTGCTCAGGCCGGTCATCAACGTCAAGGAAATTTTCATATCATCGTAACTTTGTTACTCAAAGGACCTTGGAAATAATGGAGTTAAGCATCTTTGTACAATTAGAAATGAATGTTTAAAATAGTTAGAAAACTTCTCTAATGTCACAAAGATAACTGTTTGCAAAACCAGGATCAGAACTTAGAAATTTTAATTCTTTGTAAAGCATGCTGTCATTTGCTCTAAAATACAAGCACAGAAAAGAAGAAAAAAAATCCATTCCAACAATTCTGACCTTGAATTTATGACCTTTCCCCACCATCTTTAATGCTAACCTACTATATTCCAATGTACATAGTTTATTCCATTCACTCAGGGTGAATTTTAATTATTCATTGATTTAAACATTTATTACCCACCAAAAAAGCCCCAGTTACTTTGCTGGGTGCTAGGGATGAATAGTTAGCCTTTTACATGTCACAGGCTGGGCTAAGTGCTTTCTAGGCACTATCTTCACAACCACTTTACAAGTAGATCTCTGTATCTTCATTTTATAGATCAGTTCTTGTCCTAAAAGAGGTGACCTCTAGTAAACATTCAATTACAATACAGTGTTCAAAGTGGAATGTACTTTGTATGATAGAAATAAGGACAGGATGTATAGGTTTATATAATTCCAGTGTTTTACACAGCCTTAATGAACAGAATAACTTCTTAAAAAATGAAACCAAAGGTAAGGTAGTCAGATAAAAGGAGATGAGGAGGATGGGGCAAATCATAACCATCCAATTTAATAAAACTTTGAGGAAATCCTAGTCTATCACCTGTACCTAACTTCTTTAGGTCTATTGTTTACTAGCACATTCCTCATATGTATCCCCCTAATCTAATACCTGTTTTCAGCAACATAATGCTTGTTATAGCAATTACAAACCTCAAAATTCCATCTAATCAAGGAAAGTAACTAGGAAATCTTTGTTTTACTCTTTATATCTCTGCCTTACCATAGAATTATTTTCTACAAAATGTTAATTGTCTGATGCTTGAAATATATAGGCTCCTCATGCGTGAAAGACCGTGGTTTGGAAATATTTCTGGGTAGATTTTTAACGATCGATGAAGCATTCAGTTGTTTGTATAAATGTAAGTGTGAGAAGGTTGAGAAAGTAAATAGGCCTACAGTGTGATCTCTAGGTTATGAATAATTTTTCTCTTCTAGTGTCGACTGTTAAATAAGATATGTCTCTGATTGACAGCATAAGAACAAATTATTTCACATACTGCTGGCCTTTGGGCGGAAAAACTCTTAAATATAGATATAAAGGTTTATTGCATTTTATTAAATGTTTAAATAATGACTTAAAAGATTTATGTTCCATAGTTTATGAATAATGAATAGCAAACTTACATTTTATGTGCCTTGAAAGATTTCCATAAATGTTAAAATTTTATATAAATTAGAAATTGATATGGAATATATATCTCAAATTAATATGTTGTGAACATAAAATGACCTTTAATTTTATCATATTTAGGATATTCATTGTTAAAATAAAAATTATGAAATGCCATTAAGAAATGCTTTGTGCTTAAAATCCAATATGTAATAAACACAATGAAATATATACTCATCTTTTAAATACAACTTATGTTTTATGCATAAAAATGAGTTTAAAGATTATTATTAATAAGACTTCTTAAATGATCAAAGACTTCTCTCATGAGCAGCAAAAGCTCTAATGATTTGTTTTGATTGTTATGAAACATGAAGTCATGTTACGGTACACAAGAGGCAGTTTAAGTTTTCCACTGGTCTCTGCTTTTCTCTCAGCTTAGTGTCCCCACCAAATTAATAGACATTTAGATTGATAACTTAGTAAATATATCTGTTAAGAATAGAAAGTTAACAGCAATAATACACTTAATATTCTTAGTGTGTTTCATACAATGCCATAGAATATCAGTTAAACTAAGTACTTAATTCATTTCAAAATACAACATTATAAAATAAAGAGTAAGAAAAAAATGAAAACATCTAATTATAAACTGTGGACTGTAAGCTGTTTTACATGGACTAAAATACCTACTGTTCTCCCATTAAAAAGTATTCCCATTATAGAATCCAATTTTAAGAGTTCTGATCTAATATTAATATGATACTTCTCTCAGATAAAAAATGTTCACTCAATGCCCAGTCTCGCCCAACTATATCTCTCAACTTTACCTAGTGATGTGCTTCATTGGATGCATGTGATCTTTATAACCTGACACTATTCTCAATTATTAAAGGAATCATCACATCTAGCATATATCAGCGTATGTTGAAGTGAATATATCAATTCTCAAAAAATGTTGGCACATATATTTTAACTTCTGACATGGATGATAGATGTAGCATTATCCAGCAATGACCTAGGGCCAATACTCAGCATGTATTATCGTAAATTACATTTACTAAATACTCAGGTTCCATGCCTTCTAGGCAAGTGTATAGTTGACACATCTAACAACAATAACCAGCATACCGTGAGAATGATGCATCTGACAGCAATAACTTATGACCGTTACCATGTGGAGGTTGCTAGCGGAAGGGCACTAAGTGAAGGCGCTTTGTAAACTGCATGCCTTTTATAAGTGATTGCAGTTCTCCTGTCCAGCCTCCTGCCACTGGACCATCCCTGTATGTAAGTTCCCACTAATAAACCATATGTCTTGTTTGCTGGTTCTGGGTCTTTGCTTTGGTCTCTTGAACCTGGTACCATCACTACTGAAGTTAATAGCAGTCTGGCATACCAATGCATGATGAGATTTCATGCTTCCAAATCTCCAAAATCAGGCAAAGACATGTGACCTTTATTTGGCCAGTAAAGTGTTAACAAAAATGTTAATTACAGGCAATAGCAGCCAGTGCTAGATTCAGCACTCTCTCTTCTTGTTTCCAAGTGACCATGAAACCAGGGCTTATGATTCCCTATTTTTTTTTTTTTTTTTGAGGTGGAGTCTCACTCTGTCCACCAGGCTGGAGTGCAATAGTGCAGTCTTGGCTCACTGCAACCTCCGCCTCCCAGGTTCAAGCAATTCTCCTGCCTCAGCCTCCTGAGTAGCTGGCATTACAGGTGTGCGCCACCATGCCCAGCTAATTTTTGTATTTTTAGTAGAGACAGGGTTTCACCATGTTGGTCAGACTGGTCTCGAACTCCTGACCTCGTGATCAGCCTGCCTCGGCCTCCCAAAGTGTTGGAATTCCAGGCGTGAGCCACTGTGCCTGGCCAAGATTCCCTCTTAATCTGAGTGGAAGGTAAAAGAAACTCCCTGCTGACCCACGTTAAATATATAGCCTGAGTCAGAAATAATTCTTCATTGAATTAAACCACTGGAATTTTCAGGGCTAACAGTAAAGCATTAACTGCCAATTTTGACTAATACAACCACTGAAGAGAGCCTGAATGTGTTAGTCACATGTGTATGTTTGATAGGCTTTATAACCTAATCAATACCTACCTATATATTACTTTTAGCATGAAGCAATGAGACAAAATTCAAAGTTGTCATCTATTTAAATTTTATGTAGAACTGAGCATTTTCTTCTACTTTTTTTCTGAAAGTATATAAACTTACTCTACACAACATTTTCTTCTCTCCTAAAATAATGATGGAGAAGATCAAAGCCAGCCTTTTCAATTCATGACGTTCATAAAATCTGCAACTAAGTTAGTTCAACAACTGTGAAAAGCAGTGTGGTGATTTGTGTGGTGATTCCTCAAAGAACTACAAATAGAATGACCATTCAACTCAGCAATCCAATACTGGGTATATACTCAAAGGCATATTAATTGTTCTACCATAAGGACACATGCACTGGTATGTTCACTATAATAGCAAAGAAATGGAATCAACCTAAAAGCCCATCAACGGTAGACTCATTCAAGAAAATGTGGTACACATACACCTTGGAATACTATGCAGCCATAAAAAAAACCACAGGACCATGTCCTTTGTAGGAACATGGATGGAGCTGATGGCCATTATACTTAGCACACTAATGCAGGAACAGAAAACCAAATACTGCATGTTTTCACTTATAAGTGGGAGCCAAAGAATGAGAACATATAGAAAAAGGGGAACAACAGATAATGGGGTCTACCTGAGGAAAGAGGATAGGAGGAGAGGTTCAGAAAAAAGAACTTTTGAGTACTATGCTTAGTACCCTGGTGATTTCCTGAGTCACAAGTTTACCTAAGGACAAACCTACACATGTACCCTTGAACCTAAAACGAAAGTTAAAATATTTTAAAAAGCTAGAACGCTCACTGGACAAAATTAACATTAAAAATATTACTCAAATTAGACCTCTCATCATCCAAGTCATAGCATTTATTCACTTTTGGTAAATTGATTCATTTGTAGATCAATTAACTATTGTTAATTTGAAGATTATATTTTACCATATTTATTAAATTAGAAGCATTTTGCTTCTACATATACTTACACTCAAGTAACTTGGCATTTAAATGCTCATAATAATTATTAATAAAATGCAAACACATTTCATTTATTTATATATTTCATGTTAAGCAATTAACAAGCAAACAAACTATGCAGTGTTCAAATTTCTTGTAATGACACACTGTCCATGGAAAATGGTCTTATGTAAATCCCTTCAAAATTAAATTTACATTAAATCTGAACTCATGATTTGTTAATGGTATAAAAAGTCTTAACATAGGAAACTATCACCTTCTGAATATAAAAATCATATTTTTCTAGCTGCAAAGAGAGGAATGCAAGTATAAGGAGTATATTCAAATGAATGGCTATCTTCCTAGTTATAACACATTATTTTCTGTTATATTTTTCTAATTTCTTTACTTGTATGTATTAATTTGCTTTACTTGTATGTATTAATCTGTTTTCACATTGCTATAAATAACTGAGAGACTGAGTAATTTATAAAGGAAAAAGGTTTAATTGACTCACAGTTCAGCATGGCTGGGGAGGCCTCAGGAAGCTTATAATCGTGACAGAAGGCAAAGGGGAAGCAAGACAACCTCTTCACAAGGTGGCAGGAAGGAGAAGTGCCAAGCCAAGGGGGAAGAGCACCTTATAAAACCATCAGATCTCATGAGAACTCAATCACCATCACAAGAACAGCCTGAGGAACCACCCCCATGATTCAATTACCTCCACCTGGTCTCTCCCTTGATACATGGGATTACAGGGATTATGGAGATTACAATTTAAGATTAGATTTGAATGTGGACATGAAGCCTAACCATATCATTATGTTTAAAGCTGTGAAGTCCATTAAGGGGATCTCGTCTACAATGTCAGCCCCTTTATAACATAAGCTGATCAATGATGTCATATTGTAACTGCAGGACAAATTTTAAGAAATAGAAAACATTTATTGAAGAAATACAAAGCTTAAAAACCCCTAATTACAGCAGGATGAAAAACTTTTTTCCATGCCTGTAACAGATCTTCTTCTTAATGACATACATTTTTATTAGACTCTTGGCTGAATTGTGGTGCATTTTGTCAGGCTGGCGCACAAAGCGATTGCGGTTTTTGCCATTAAAAGCAATGGCAAAAACCGCAATTAGTTTTGCACCACCCTAATGGAACAGGATTCACATACAAAACAAATTTTGAGAATCGCTTGTTGAAATATCTTTTATAATATATGTGCCCTAAAAATCTGTTGTAAAAAACTATTACTGAAAATTTGCTTCTTGTTCTTGAATATGTACAGAGGTCCCATTTTCTATTATAGTATTTTAATGAGATTTAAGTAAAGCTAATTCTAAATGACGGAAGATATTAACAGTAAAATTTATTACTTTGAGCAGAACATTGAATATTTTAAAGGCATAAGTAAAAATGCATACATAGAGAAAAAGTTTCTGGCATTTTACGTAATTAGGTGTATCTCAAAAATTGTGATTTTACTAAAAGAAAAATAGATGAGCTTTTTAGAATCACAATTAAAATTCTGAGTTTCTCACATCCCTTTATTTTACCAAAATTGATGACCTGGTTGTCAAAATTTATTATTTTCTAGTCACATTCTAATTCTCTTAAATAGAGTTTATACCTATATTCTGATTAAAGGCTATATTATCCAGACTTCTCTCTATTTATTCTGCTTATCTTGTGCTGCTTCATGGACATTTAGTTCATAGAACTTTTTTTGTAGAGATATTCCCTTATCTTCTTTGATTTTTTTTTTAAATGCATGAAAGTATGCTTGACCTTGTAATCTAGGTCTGAAACTTATAAACAGACATATATTCTTTTGTTTTTATTTGTGTTACTATTCATTTTTGTTGCTTCAGGAAACTCCTGATATTTGGTGTAGTCAAATAATTTGAGAAACACTGTGCTCGTAACACTCTATTGTATATCTTTCCCTTTGCTGCTGATATGGCAAGGAAAGGCTTACATTTCGAAATGTCTCAATGTCTTGAACTATATGAAGTTAAGCTTTAATGAAGCAAGTATACATCTAACTAAAGAGGCGAAGATACAAATATATGCGTGTCTAAACATTCCCTTTTATCACACCTATGGCCCATTAGACTATAAATGAAAAGGAATGAGAGTCATTAACTGTGAATCAGGTGAACTCTGTTGGTCTACAGCATGCTGTGCTTAATTGCATACATTCCTGGATCCTTCGCCACAGCTTTTACCATTATGTTCGGTGCTAGCTTACCTCTCTCCATTCTGTCTGCTACTGTCCCCTTCAGACAAGCATCCTCTCTCACCTTGATTAATACAGTAGCCTCCCGCTGGCCTCTGTGAAATGTAAACTTTTCTATGTTCATTTTTGCCTGATGATCTATCACTGCAGACATCTCCTTTAGCATTCCCTTAAAACATGACTCCGCTTTGCCAATACATTTCCAAAGGGAGTTCAGGGCCACATATTTGCCTGTCATTTATTTTTTACTCAACTAAATTTGTTCAAAAATTTAGTAAAATCTTCCTCCTAGTAATTCTGTGTATAAAATTTAGTTCTGCTCTGTGGAGCTATCCAGATTAAAGCTGTCTTCATCATTTTACATCTGTGGAAACATTGCTTCCTGGCATCTCTTCATCTATTACTTCCACTTATTACAAATATGGCCTGGTTTTCAGAAACATTCACACTGCTTTATCCTCTTCTAAGCACAGTTTCACTTGCCAATACCTCAATTAACAGATGACAACTAAATAGAAAACTCCCAGAATGGCTGTGTGAATTCTATCTCCAGTGAAATAACCATAACTGGGGAAAATTATTAAAACAACACTTACAACTATTTAAAGTCTCTGTTAATTGTCCTAAGGGCACACAGAAAATGAAGATACATTTATTCAAGAAAATCTACTAACTCTTAGAATACCAAGCAGCCTGTGTCATTTAATACGGGATCGATGCCCTCTCCATCTCTCTAGTTCAACACAAAAGAAACTCTACCACTAACAGAGCTACTGAGAACAGAGGGTTCCCTCTGTTCCCAGCTCCCAGTCAGGGCTGAAGTTTCTTCCTGGAAGTTGCAGGCCACCAAGATTTATCACATACACCCAGCTCTGTGTTGAAGGAGATCTATTCAAGGCAAGAGCAGCCAAAAGGCCTTGGACTATCTTTCTTCATCCAGTTCCCACTCCTGAGGCAGATCTATGCCAAATGTGATAGACCAAAAATACTAGGGTCCCCATTGCCCTGCGCAGCACCCTCGTTGTAAGGTCAAGGTGTTATCCTGAGAGAAGCAGGTCATTGTCCTTCTGGTATTTCCTTGAAAATTCATGGCTATTATTAGTACCCTGTGATATGATTCACCAGAATCTATTGATAAAAACTCATTTAACAAAGTAGTTAAAATAAAAAAAATATTATTGTGCTTTAAATGCCTCTTAAATATTTCTTTTGCCTTTTCTAGTTTAAACATTTTTTTCCACATAAACAAGTAACCATTGACTCTGCTGCTCCTATATCCTTTCATGACCATTATGAAAAATAGTATGGAGATTCTGCAAGAAACTAAAAATACAACTATCATATGATTCAGCAATCCCACTTCTGGGTATAGACCCAAAGGATGTGAAATCAGTATGTTGAAGAGGTGTCTGTACTTCCATTTTCATTTCAGCATTATTCACAATAGCCAAGGTATAAAATCAACCTAAGTGTCCATCAAAGAATGAATGGATAAAGTGTGGTACCTATACACAACAGAATACTACTCAGTCTTAAAAAGGAAGAAAATCCTGTCATTTGCAACAACATGGGTGAACCTTAAGGCAGTAAATGAAAGAAGCCAGGCACAGCAAGACAAACACTGCATGATCTCACTTAGGAAGAATCTTAAAAGGTTGACATCATAAAAAGAGAGAGTAAAATGATGTTACTAGAGGCTGGGGGGCTAGGAGAATTAGGGCAATGTTGGTTAAAGGACATAAAATTTTAATTAGGCAGGAGTAAGTTCAAGAAATCTATTGTTCATCATGATGATCATAGTTAATAATGATATATTATATCCTTGAAAAATGCTAAAACAGTAGATTTTTTAATGTTCTCACCACAAAATATGGTCAAGTATGTGAAGTCATGCAGATATTAGACAGCTTTTGTCTGAGCCACTTCACAATACGAACATAAATCAAAACATTATTGTACAACACAATTAATTTTTAAAAAGTGCTGAAGGGAAATTTTATTTTATTTGTTTTTGCTTAAAAGCATTTAGTAAATACTGAGGACATTTAACAACATATCCCTAAAAACATTTCCCATATAGCGATGTTTATTAAATCCCTTTTTTTACACTGCATTTTGTTACATATTGGAAACTATTTGAGAAACGAGAGGTAATTGCAAACATGACTTGACCTGGTTCAAACCCTAAGAGCTTTTAAAACTCCAATGTTTAAATGGAGAAAATTGTAGTTTTCTGGTACAATAAAAATATTCTCAGTCATAAAAGATCACTACCAAAAAATGGTTATTTTTATATTGAGGATAGTCCCTTAAAAGTGTAAAGAAACAATTACAGGTTAGCTCAACAGACCTGTCCCTAGACTGATACCCAGCATCCCATTAATTCAAAAATTATGTGAAAATTCGAGTCATAATCATACTGTTATTATAAACAAAAACCAAATAAGTTATAATAAGCTAATTTAGTTTAAAAAATGAAGGTGAAATTAAAATAAAACAAACTGAGCTCATTCAAAATAAATAACCTGTTGTAATTTCAGAGCCTTTGTTTCTTCTCTTTAGCATAAGTGTAGATCATAAAAATTGCAAAAGTCCCTTAAGTTATTCATCTTACAGAATAGTTGTCAGATCAAATGAAGTAATAAAAATAATAGCAACTGTAGCATTATTAACAGCTAACATGTATTGACTCCTAAAACATGCCAAGGGCTACTCCAAAGGCTGTATATGCAGTATCTCGTTTAATCCTCCCAACAAACATATAAGGTAGGTATTTTTATTTCCATTTCATCATATAAGGAGGAAAAAGGCACAGAAAGTTTATGTAGCTTATTCAAGTTCAAAGACCAAGGGCTAGTGCCAGGTCCCAAACAGTCCAGTGAAGGAACTCAGGCTCCTGAGCAACAGGCTTTGCTTCTTCCTGAAGGTGTCACGCTTGCAAAGTCCTTGTAAGTCTATGCAAGCAGTTACCCTTACATAGACTCTTACATGGGACATTGTGATGCTCCATGAAAGAGTAAAGGTCGTCTGTTCTGCTTAATAAGGCAACCATATGGTGACATGGAAAGTGCATGGACAGAAAAACAGGTTTGATTCCAAGTTCTGCCATTTATCAACCATGTGTGATCTTTGGCCAGTTAACTAACCTCTCTGAGTCACATTTTCTAAATCAAAAACTGAGAATAATAATGCTGTATCAGTTTTCTAGGGATGTCATAACAAAATACAATAGACAGGGTGATGGCTTAAATATGTATTTTCTCACAGTTCCGGAAGTTAGGAGTCCAAGATCCAGGTGTCAACAGATTCTTCTGAGTCCTCTCTTCTTGGCTTGCAGACAGACTCCTTTTCTCTGTATCCTCACATGAGCATGTTAGTCTGTGTTTTCTGTGTCCTAATCTCCTCTTCTTATAAGAACACCAGTCATACTAGATTAGGGTTCCCCCATGACCTCATTTTACTTTAACCACCTCTTTCACAGCCCTATCTCCAAATACCTACAGTCACATTTTGAGATACTAGGGGTTAGAACTTCAATATCTGAGCGGAGGGGCGTGCACAATTCAGCTCATTGTAGTTATCTTTCAGAGTTAAGGTAAGGTTATGAAAAGGTAAGCCAATTGCCTAGAAATTAGGAAGCCTCTAAACTTTAATATCTGTATCGTACACCAGTAAAGTCAGTATTATTTGGCGGTCTGTTACCTTTTCTTAGCTGTATACATTGACAGGAATATGCATACAGTGTAAAGGCTAATGTGACAATAAAGGGTTAACACATGGACAAGTTTTGATTTTTAGAAAGATGAATACTATTTTTATTCAACAATTTAAGGTCATCTTTCATTGTGTTAGAAGGCCATCTAAGGAAACAGGTATAAAATAAACATCCTTACTGATAGCAAATCATTAATTCTGCATACACTTCAAATCATGGTATATGTAGTTCAATGGGACATTAGAAACTGCTTGATCAAACACGCAACCACATTTACTTCTCAAACGCAGAACGTGAGCTTGACACTAGTTAAGTAACTTGTCCTAAGACACACATACAGTTAGTTACTGGCATAGCAGTTTCTCATTCCTAGTTCATTGTTCTTCCTTCTATGCTCTACTGTCTCCTAAGATTTTCCTGGGATCATGGTCTTTACAATTTCCTGGAGTGATTATTTGTTTTAGAAATAACACTTAATATCTAGAGAGCTTCACAAGTAGCTGCCTTCCAAATTGGCTTCTTCAACCTCAGTCAAATATAAGCTAAAACCTCCTTAAAAAAATCTGTGACTTCATCTTTCAATAGATTACCAAAAAACATCCTCACTAGTACCTGCTGACAAAAATATCACCCCTCAAATAAGGCACATTTTTCTAGTTGACACACATAATATGATTAATCTAATAATCAAGATTCATTATATCTCAAATGATGTAGAACATGCACACATTTTCCTAATAGTGTTTCTCAAATGTTGCTTGAACAAACAGCAGGACTCAAATAACCTTCCAAAATGCCTCAGTGTTATTTGCATACCTGGCTTAACAGTGATGAGTAAAAGGAAGAGCAACTCAATTACAACTCCTTTGGGGACTCCTTGGGGCTGCCTTCACTTAAGAAAAACACCTTCAAAGAGACAAGCACTGTAATAATTTTCTTCCATAGTTCCTTCAATAAGGAATTAGCCCAGAAGTAATGTCACCCTTCAGGAGAAGCTATTGATAGGATCTAGTCTCACTTCCTCTCTTACAGGCTCTCCTCCAACAAAGTCAGGTTTTGAAATGAGAAAGCAAGATTAAACTTTGATCTAATCTGATGGGGAAGAAGCAGGAACAACAGAAAGCACAGACCTTGGATTTAAAGAGAGCAGCACTCAAATAGAGACATCCTCTTCACAAGCCTTGTGACTTTACCAGTAAAAATAGAGATAATGGGACCTACCTGTTGGTTTGTTGTAAAGATATAATAAGATAATGTATTAAAAACATGAAACCCTGTGCCTGGCATGGAATAAGCATTTCTTCATGAAATAAATTATTGAAAAGATTATAAGAAGAATGAGGATGATGACGAGTCATTGTTTTTCAAACAGATCGAACTGACTGGTGGCCCAGAGGGAATTTTTATCTCTGAATTTAGAAAAACAATTACTGAAGCCCCACTTGCAGCCTTAACAATTTATTTACAAAGTTATCTTTAGACAGGTAATAGAACACAATGCCCAGTCCACATTTCACCTACCCACTCTCGGATCTGAAGCTGGTCAAAGAGGTTTCAGTAAGTTCAAGATGATTCTCCCATTAAAAATAGTGTTCTCAAAGTGTTCAGTAAGAGATAGAGAGCCAGCAGTGTGTGAAATAGGAGGATGGAAAGGAGATCTGCTGGCAGGGCATTCAGTAAAAGGGGCACTGTCTATAACCAAGGGAAGAAAATACTCTGAATCACTTGACATCCATAATGTGTAGTTTTCAGTATTTATCATTAATAAGATATTTGTAGTAAGATATTTTGTCAATCATGATGCTGTCTTACATAAATTCAAAGAAATTTTTAACTTGAAAATGTTGGGGGTTCTTGCAGCTAGAGAAAAACAAAATACAAACAAGTGTCTTAAATTTAACTCAAAGAGATAAGGGATTGGTGATCACCACACAATTCGTTAGCAGAAAAACAAGGACTAGAAGCCAAGGTTGCTGGTGTACAGTCTCCTACTATTTCCACCAGCATAGTCCTTCTCTAAGCTAGATAGACATCCTTACCTATATCAAGAGAATTCATTACAGTAGGAGTTAACAGTAACAATAAAAATAGTAACAAACACTTACTATATACTAAACAACCTGTTATATGTTTTGCATGTATTACTTTGTCATTTAATATGTACAAAAACAGTACAATTTAGATACAATTATCTCTGTTGTACTGAGGAGGAAACTTAGGCTGAGATAAGTTAAGATATTGAATCTGTAAGAATTATAAGAAGAAAAAAGAAAAAATATTCAAGAGTACACTTTGAGAAAATTAACTGTCTTTGGAGAACAATCTGTGCTTACAACCATTATATGATCATTGCCATTTCTTTCTTGAAAACATTGTCTCCTTATCTTTCATTTACAGTAGCTTATACATCTACTAATAGAATATGTTCTAATTACTTCTCAGGAATTGTGCTATCTCAATCAGCAAGTGATATTCTGATTCCCTTGGAATCACTTCCAGATATAAACAACATAAAATTTAGAGTCAAATAAACCAATTTTGCTAAGGGTTTTGTTTGTATTTTTTTCTTTTCTTTTTTCATTTTTTAAAACATGAGCACACTGCTTACAAGTAGCAGACAAAGGAATTCAATACTGTGTGGCACAAGGTGTTTGACATAACAGCAAACAGCTACAAATTGTTTCATAAATCAATAATGCATGCTCCTATCTAAACCTGAAACAACAACAACAAAAAATCCCCTAAAAGTCATAACAATGGTGATAGCCAACATTCAGTAATGCTAAATTCACTTCCTCAGGAATGCCATTCAGTAGTGCAAGATTCATTTTCTTGGGTATGTTGATTCATATTTATTTTAAAAGACAAATAAAACAAGCCATAAAATGGTCAGAGGATACTGACCGGGGGTCAAAATGGAGGGGATGCTGTGAAATCACTTCTTGTTGCTAAGATTAAGTCATGAAGAATTATTCTTTTGAATGTCAAGAGACTTGGTCTAGTATCCTGGATATAAAAATGTTAAAAGATGCTGGCTCTTGAATTGGTACTGACTCCCACCACTTAAAAAAGGCTACCTGGCATTTTCTTGAATTTTTCAATTCCACTTTGCCTTTGCATAGACCGGTTATATGCAAATTTGGTTATTTTGTTGAAAATTTAGACTTTTACCCTTACAGCCTTGTATTATTAAAAAGTAGTGTCTTATAAAACATTCTGGAATTTCTCATAAACATTCATTTATATGCATTAGATAAAAATCTGTGCTGTCAATAGCTTGTGATAAAAAGTGCCTATGAAAACAGAAGAGACGGGAGATATTTAGGCAAATACAACCACAGACTCTCAGCTTTTGATTGTAGTTTAGAGGTCATCGAGTCCAAGCCCTTACCTGGTGCCAGGTGCCTTCTATACAGTCACTATTTGAATATTTGAACCAGGAGAAACCTGGTGGATCTAATTGTTCATCAGCCCTAATTATTAGCAACTCTTTTCTTATTATGATGGGGAATCCTTGGGAATATCTTCTTTATGACTCACCTGATAACAAGGAATAGAGTTAGTTTTAATGGAAATTAGACCAAGATTATTATGTTTGGGTTTAAAAAAAGACACATAAAAAAGTATGCACCCCTTTCCAGAGCATAAATCAGATATATACAACTAGGGAGAGGTAGGCAGAATGTTTGAAAAATTCATGCTTCAAACCTCTTTGTTTAGAGATCATGTGTGCTTTATTTTTAGATTTCAGCATCCCCAGTGATGAATTGGAGTTGGGCTTAAATATGGCCACATGGGCACAATTTCTACCCAGAGAGAAGTAATTCAAGGCTTCAGTGCCTTCCACTCCCACCCCTCCAGGAGTGATTGGCTGACTAATACTGTCAAAGGACTAGCTGTAATTAGTGATCCCAAAGTAAGTCATCTGTCTATACCTTGAGCTATGGCATCTCTGGGACCCAAGAAAGGTTAGACAGTTGGAGAATGTCACCTTCATGCAGTAGGCATGACAAGATTGGGTGATAGCTATTTTTTGCTAGCCATAATATTTGATTTTAAAAAGTAAACAATAAAATATTTTGCCCAATCTCTATTCTTACTGTCTTGAAATTTCATTACAATCAAAATAATAAAAATATTGTCTTTCCTAGAAAGTGAAAAGTTATCTAAATATGATAAATGATGCTGCAGTCCCCTAATCCCAGTTGCTTAATTCAGTGAAGATATTTCACTGTACATATATATCATGAGTTAGCATAGTTACTGAGAAACCTAAAGTGATGGAAAACTTCCCATCTTTAACTGCATTATCATGAATATGCTGCCTGCTTGATATACATTGCAGGGGGAATGATCGCTGGTATATCTCACAGCAGCAAATAGATGTCATAGCCCAGGAATAATGCACATCCTTCTCCTCATGCCACTGGTCAGAGGTAATCTCATGGAAATGTGCCAGGAAAAGAGGCCAACTTCATATTGATAAATACTGTAAGGCCTATCACATTACAACTCAGGTCCCATCAGACTTTTTATTCTCCAGTCTAAACACTCCTAATTCACATATTCTTCAAATGGTATGGTTTTAATTTCTCTTCTCCTGGCTTACTTCTACTTGCTGTTCTACTTTAAAGATTTTCAGCATTGATATGTGAACTCTTTGAATTCATTGGCAGGATATGGTAACCATATTTATTTCAGGAAAAAAAAAAGATCGAGCTTTCAATAGTTTCTTAAAGGAGTTCAGGGGCCATTACTCAGGTCTCTTGATTTTCTTTCAATATGATACCCAGTAGACACAACATTCTGGTTAAGATTTGAATAGCATTATTCTATCACCTATTCTGGATATATTTTTAAGACTATTATAAAATAATAAAAATGCGTATTCAATCTTTTGATATATTGTTGCCTTACACTGAGCTTATTGATCAAGCAAAGTGTATACTCCTTGCACTGCTGACAAATTTTGCTCTTTTTCAGTCAAACGATTTATGGTAGCTTTACTTTTTATTATATTTTTAAACAGCATTCAAAGCTATTCACTATTGTATTCAGGGGCTCAAGGTTTCCATATTTCTAATTCTCAACTCTAACAAAAAGCATATTAGCCAGCTTTTCCATTCAACTTTGGGTCTTCTGCATACCGTCTGTATTGTTATATCAATCATCTACACAAACATTCGAACAGTTCTGTGCTAAGGGACAAGCCCTAGAATATACAAATGAAAGTTCTCTCCAAAAAGATGTAACTGCATTCATCAGCATGCTTTGAGTATTCTTTTTTTTTTTTTGGCTCCATATTTGTAGTTTTTCTTGTTTACCTTCCTAACATGGTGCTGTTTTCCTCTCCTTCTATCAGTGGCTCTTTCTTTCAAATAACTCTTTAAAATCCATCCCCTCAAGTCACAGTGTTACCTCCAAAATCACTGGCTTCTTCCATGAAAATACATTATTGAGGTACTCATGACTTTTTTTCTAAATTCCTACTTTTAAAATTGATTTTTAATATTACTACTTTTACTACAAATCTATCATCATAAAGAGAACCTCTCCCAGACTCAATTTCTTCACCATTCTCCTCACACTCTTCCCCCCAAAAATGGTGTGATTTGCCAAGGGATCTTAAGGTTCCTTACAACTCTACGATTATATGATTCTTTCACTTTTGGTAGGCTTTTGCTCCCAAAAAACTCAACAAATTTTACTGATGAAATTGTAGTGATTTGCTGAAAAAAAAAAATTGAACCTGAAGAAAATTATGGGATTTTCTAGATTGATATCCATAGTGGAATGTAGACTAGGAAGATAACATCACACAATTCATGTTTCCTCTAGAGGCCCTTTGCCAGGCTTTTAAATGGCCAGTGTGCTACATATAGTAATAACTCTTTAACCTTGGCTAATGCCTCCTATTAATCCATTACATTGGCTGTTGGCTTCAGAAAGGCAAGTACATCCAAAAATATAACAAGGTTAACTGTGCAATTATTCAATACAATTTATTCTAATAAATATTATGAGACTATAGAACAACAACAACAAAAAAAACAGATGGCATACACTTGAGTATATTACAGATGTTTAGGCAGATTAAAAATAGCTGTAGCCTATAAGCTACCCATGTGTGAAATATTTGTCCCAGACAACCACTACCCTTATACTAAGCCCCCAAAAATGTCCATTTACTATTATAGAACAAAGTTTGCAGAGTCAACTTTAATGGTCATATCTAATCACACAATATAACAGAATTGTCTCCTATTTTTAAAATAAAAAATCATTAATTTAACTTTGCCTTATTAAAAAGCATAGGGTATACCATAAAAGGAAAAGGATCATGTGACTTTTTATATATATATATGTATTTCAAAATATGTTTCCTATTAAGAAATCTTCAAACCTATAAACCCAGTCCAATCCAGTAATTAGTGCCTCCAAATAAATATGACTCATTTTCAGAAGAAACTTTGGTTATTATGTTTATTCCTTCTTACTTTACCTTACACAAACATTCCTTGTAAAAATTAAGCAAATCTAATCATGTCATTGGTTTTCTTTTCATCTCTATTTCGTGGTTTTGTTTGTTTGTTTGTTTGTTTGTTTTTGAGACAGAGTCTCACTCTGTCACCCAGGCTGGAGCACAGTGGTGTAATCATGGCTCATGGCTCACCCTAGCCTCAACTTCCTGGGCTCAAGTGATCCTTTCACATTAGCCTCCTGAATAGCTGGGACTACAAGCATGCACCACCATGCATAGCTAATTTTAATTTTGTTGTTGTTGTTGTTGTTGTTGTTGCTGTTTTTTGTAGAGGCAAGGTCTCATTATGGTGCCCAGGATGGTCTTGAACTCTTGGGCTCAAGAAGTCCTCCCACCTCTGCCTCCCTGTGAACAACCTTACCTGGCCTATTTCCATTTCCACCTCCCAGCCCCTGACAACCACAATTATATTCCTTGCTTATATGAGTTTGACTGTGGCATTGATCTAGTCTTAAAGGGGGTTCTTTCCAAGAAGCAAGTATGAGTTAAGTTTTGCTTTTTGTTGTTGTGTGTTACTGGAGTTTTTTGGTATTTTTCTTAAACAGGTTTATTGGAGGACTCTCTGGTTTGGAAACATAAAACAATGTAGAGCAAGTCAATTAATGAACTTTACCAACCAGCAAATAATGTTTTTTTTTTGGTACCTGCTACTTCCTTCTAAATAAATGGGTACCTCTTTTTTTTTTTTTCCCAACACTGAGTATTTCTCTGTTGCCCAGGCTGGAGTGCAATGGCGCGATCTCAGCTCACTGCAACCTCTGCCTCCTGGGTTCAAGTGATTCTCCTGCCTCAGCATGCCGAGTAGTTGGGATTACAGCTACCACCACCACACCCGGCTAATTTTTGTATTTTTAGTAGAGACGGAGTTTCACCATGTTGGCTAGGCTGGTCTTGAACTCCTGACCTCATGCTCTGCCTGCCTTGGCCTCCCAAAGTGCTGGGATTACTCATTAAGAAGAAATAAACTATTTCATTGTCATTTTCACCAGTCAAGCAGGAATCAACGGCTTTCAAACATTATGTATCTTCAGAAATGGTTTTAAATACATTAAGGATATTTGGATAACAACCCTATGTTGTTATCCTCCAGCAGTGGAGACAATTACTTAAAAGTATATATATGTATCATGGGATATTAGAAAAAAAAAGCCAAACTCTCAGAAAGAACTGTGTTGGAACTATGAAAAATAGCCCAAAGTGTACAGTAACCAAGCTAATGCTGAATCAAGGGAAAAGTGACTTAATCGTGGCAGAACTTGGCTACATTTTCTTTGGCCAAGTTCCAGCACCCTCCATGGATTTGTGGTGGTCTTAAAACAAAAGCTTACATTCTCATTGTGGGTTCAAGACTCCAGCAGGAGCAGAGCAGAACTTTGTCTAATGTAATTATGTTTTTCTGTTTTGACCTGTCAGGGAGCTCCCTGAGGGACTAAGGTAAAACACTCTCTTTTGTTTTGCCTATTTCAGAACTTTCTCAAGGTAGAAAACTGGCTGTGCTGAGGGCATTTCTCAATAACACTGAAAGGCGAATAAACAAGCCACTGCTAACTTTGTAAACAGATTAGAGTTGGGGCAAAAAAGAGTTCTGTTAAGAAATGGGCAAAGAGGCCAGACGTGGTGGCTCATGCCTGTAATCCCAGCACTTTGGGAGGCCAGGTGGGTGGATTCCTTGAGCTCACGGGTTTGAGACCAGGCTGGGCAGCATAGCAAGACCCTCCTGTCTCTATAAAAATAATAATAAACTAATTAGATATGGGCAAAGAACTGGAATAGATATTTTCCTAGACATAAAAATGGCACACAAGCACATAAAAAGATGTTTAACCTTGTTAATTGTTAGAAAAGTGCAAACCAAAACCACAATGAGATGCTATATCACACCCACTGGAAAGCCTAGAATTAAAAAATAAAAGGTGAACAGTGAGTATTGGCAAGGATGCGGGGAAACTGGAACCTTCATACACTGTTGGTAGAAATGTAAAGTGGTACAACCATTGTGGAAGACAGTTACATGGTTTCTCAAAAAGCCACAGAATTGCCACATGACTCAGCAATTATATTCCCAGTTTATAATCAATAGAATAGAAAACAGGTTCTCACACATTTGTACACAAATGTTCATAGCAGCACTATTCACAGGAGGTAAAAGGTGAAAACAACCCAAATAAACAAAATAAGGTGTATCTATAAAATGGAGTATTATTCAGCAATAAAAAGAAAGTTCTGATGCATGCTACAATGTAGATGTATCTCAAAAACGTGCTACCTGAAAGAGGCCACAAACAAATCAAATATTGTACAATTGTATTTATATGACATCTAAAGAAGATAAAACCATAGAGACAGAAAGCAGATTAGTGGTTTCTAGGTGAAAGGGGGTAAGGGGGATAGGGCATTATTACCTAACGGATATGAGGTTTCCATTGGGAATGATGAGAATTCCCAATGGAAACTGGGACTAGAATTGATGAGAATTCTTTGGAGCTAGACAGAGGTAGTAGTTTCACAATATGGTTAATGTACTAAATACCACTGAATTGTACAGGGTAAATTGGTTAATTTTTCATGTAAGTTTTACTCCAATTTTTAAAAATGTATATGATATGGCATGAAGCTGTTTAACATACATCTTGAGAGAGGACCATGTAATACAGTTGGCAAACAACATAAGAAAATACATACTTTCAAATATATTAGAAATTTCAAACATTTGTACAGTTTGGAAAGGAGGACAGCCAAGTTAACTAGAGTTTATTCTGAGTATAGAGATAGTGAATATTGGTTTTCCATTAGCTGATACCAGGTTTTGCTCTGGTTAAAAAAAACAACAGCAATATTTCAGGCTTACAATGACAATATTTCTTGCTTACATATATGTCAGCTGATATTTGACTTCAGGTTGAATCTATGTCATTTATATTCTAGGGTTGAGGCTGAAGAGGCAACTTCTTTTTCTATCTTGTGGCAGAGGAAAAAAAAATGGCAAAACCAATCTAGGCTTTCAAACTTCTGCTCAGTTATGGCATATATCATATCCACTCACTTTCCATGGCCAAAGCAAATCATGTAGACAGGAGTGATGTCAATGGAGTGAGAAGTTTATGCTCCCTCTGTGAGAGGCACTGGAAAACACATGTCAATGAGTGAGGATGTACAATCCTATTACAAGGACAGATAAAACCTGGATATTACACGTAATCCACCATTTTAAAGGATGAGTTGTGGAAAGAACAAAGGAGAACTTACTGACAATATATACAGCAGGCATCTCTAGGTCCAAAGATATGAACGTTTTTCCCCTTAGCCTGGGAGATATTCCCAAATCGTCCTGTAAAAATGTAATAATTTACTTTCCCACCAGAAATGCATGTAAGACCTTTCCAACAATGACATTATCAAACTTCATAAATGTTGACAATCTGATTAATAAAAAAATTCATCATTCTTATTTTTCTTTTTTGATTAGGAGAGAAGTTGGACATTTTATGTTTATTGAACATTTCTTTTTCATAATTTATGTACTGCCTGTTCAGGTAGCTGACAAAGACTCATATTTTAAAATGATCTGAGAAGTGAGCCAAGCTGTTAAAATTCTCTTCTGTCTGATAAAAGTCAGATCTGAGGTTTAGCTAGTGTAGCTAAGGCCATAAGCTACGTAAAGTAAAAGGATTCTGAACATAGGGATTATGCTTGTACCAGAATTTATTCTGTCTCCTTAATTAAAATATTTTAAGTACTACCCCAACAAAGATTTATCTACCAGAAATGGGAAGAATTTATTTTGAAGGGAAGACTAGGTTCCATAGATTTTGAAATATTAAGTCACGGGCCTGTAGTATTTTGTCCAACCCCAAAGAGGGGGCAAAGATTCCCTGGTCTTGGGCTAGCGTAACACACATCTCTTATGTCTGAGAAAATGCAACCACTCTGCAGCATTCTTCCCAACATTCTTTCATATTTCCTCTGCTACAACATTTCCTAAACCATATCCCATAGAATATGAATTTCAATAGATATCATGAAGGAAAAATGGATGGAAGAAAAAAATGTGTTTTAATAAATGTGTGAAATACTGCATACTGAATCCCGCCCTCAAAGAACAACTGCTTAGCTGTGCGATATAGTCTGAATGTTGCTCTGCCAAAATCTCATGTTGAAATTTAATTCCCAGTGTTGGAGGTGGGGCCTGGTGGGAGTTGTTTGAATTATGGGGGCAGATTTCTCACGAATAGCCTAGCACCATCCCCCTTGGTACTGTCCTCTTGACAGTGAGTTCTCATGTGATGTGGTCTTTAAAAAGGGCCTAGCACCTCCTCGTCCTTCTTGCACCTGCTTTTGCCATAATTGTAAGCTTCCTGAAGCCTCCCTAGAAGCCAAGATTATGCTATCACATGCTTCCTGTAAAGCATACAGAACTGTGAGCCAATTAAATCTTTTTTCTTTATAAATTACCCAGTCTCAGGTATTTCTTTACGGCAATGAAAGAATGGCCTAATACACTCTGTAAGCTTCACAAGTTATCTGGCCTCCGTTTCCTCCTGTGGACAATGAGCGTAATATTAGTACGCCCCTGGCAGAGTTCCTCATGAGTGTTAAACAAGGCAACACAAGCTAAGCCCTGTACCTGAGGCACGGTAGGCACTCAGTGAATTTTCATTCTTATTTTGATGGCTGTTACATTAGCATCTAAAGGCTCTAAAAAACTCTGTAGTAGATAAACCTGTTTGGCTTTGTCCAGCCAGCTTTCCTCAAATAATCTGACACCTGAGGAATTGTTTTTCTCACTCAGCATCTTGCACTTTGGGAAATGCGATCTGTTTCCTTTTATCTAATGCCTGAATCAGCAAACGGAGAGAAGTAGGAATGGAGAGACAGAATGGTCATGCTTCAGATTGGTAAGGAAGTTGACTTGTTCTCTTATTTCAAGTTCTCCCACGAGTGTCAACCTGAAGAATTGCCCCGATTCTGTGCTACAGATCACCACAAACAGTTGACACAACTTGTCCAAAAGCAATGCCAAACTTTGTAATTATCTGTGTCTGCTATAAAGCAGTAGAAGAAAAAAATACTCTATTCCTTATTTTCCATATTCCTCCTATTATGCTAAGAGATCATTTTTCTGTGAATACTTTTGAATAACAAATAAACCTGCTGGAAGATTTCAAGAAAAGGAAGTCAGTTCTTTCTCCTGTTATAAATAAGGCACAAATTTCTATTCTCCAAGGATATAGTCCAATTTCTCTTTATTTAGAATTGAGGATAGTATTAAACATAATATATATTTCCTGATATTAATAGCTACTTTGTGGAAATTCTTGTGTAAAATACAGAATTGCTCTCCTTAGGTGCTGTTGCTGATATGGTTTAAAAGCATTAGTTTCCCTTAACGAGAACAGCATCCCCGAAACTCTGCAGCTGGAGCAGCTGTCAAAATCATAGTTCTTTCCGTCTAACAAAGCTAACCTGATACCTAAGAGCTTTCCCACCCCTTACCATAATGGAGCTATTTAGATACTTGGCACTTTGGAACAACCATTTACCCATAAAAAAGCTGCATTTTATATTGTATCAGAAAGTACATAAGGCCTGGCATGGTGGCTTACACCTGTAATCCCAGCACTTTGGGAGGCCGAGGAAGGCAGATCACCTGAAGTCAGGAATTTGAGACCAACCTGGCCAACATAGCAAAACCCCGTCTCTACTAAAAATACAAAAATTAGCCAGGGTGGTGGTGCATGCCTGTAATCCCAGCTACTTGGGAGGCGGAGGCAGGAGAATCGTTTGAACCCAGCAGGCAGATGTTGCAGTGAGCCGAGATCACACCACTGCACCCTAGACTGGGCGACAAAGTGAGACTCCGTCTCAAAAAAAAAGAAAAAAGGACGTAACTAAAATGTAAATGTAAATTAATTTAATGAGGATTTTAATCTACCCACACTATAGAAAGTATCTAGCAAGTAACTTTTTCATTCTGCATATTTAATAGTAAGTGAAAATTCAAGTTATATTAAGCATTGCAGCCCAGAAAACTATGTTTAACAGCTTTCAACATTCCTAAAAGGTAAAGATGCCCTGCTTATAACATATGAGGAAAGAAAAATAGCTGAGAGCATTCTGAGGTCTGTGAGGTATTCAAAATTTATCAGGCCCATAGAGGCTGGTCACGCCTGTAATCCCAGCACTTTAATAGAGGCTGAGGTGGGTGGATCACTAGAGGTCAGGAGTTCAAGACCAGCCTGGCCAACATGGTGAAACCCTGTCTCCACTAAAAAATACAAAAATTAGCCCAGCTTGATGGCGGGTACCTGTAATCCCAGCTACTCAGGAGGCTGAGGCAGGAAGAATTGCTTGAACCGGGGAGGCTGAGGTTGCAGTGAGCTGAGATCATGTCTCTGCACTCTAGCCTGCGCGACAGAGCGAGACTCTGTCTCAAAAAAAAAAAAAAAAAGAAAGAAAGAAAGAAAGAAAGAAAGAAAGAAAAAGAAAAGAAAAGAAAAATTAGGTGACACCACTTTTCCAAGAAACCCTAGTCTAGCTGAGAGCATTCTGAGCTCTGTGAGGTATTCAAAATTTATACGGCCCATAGAGGTATGAGTACAGAACTTTTAATTGTGCTAAGAAATCACCTTTTTTCAGGAATCATGATTATTCCACCTCTTTGTTAAAGAAACTCATAAAAGTAACATCCCCAAACCCCCTTGTGTGCAACTCTCTTGAGTATACCAACACTCCCCTTTCTTGAGTGTGTACTTTTCATTTCGCAAGAAATCTCTATACTTTCACTATTTTCTGAATCACTCATGAATTCCTGCTTGAGATGATGTCAAAAGCCTGGACACCCATTGGAATCAAGGTCCCACTGGTGTTTGGGAACTTTCCAGAGCCCACTGGTGTCAGTACAACAAACTGTTTTAAAACTCTCAGTATTTCATCATTACTTAACCAAGTAAAATTCAAACTCCTTATTTGCCATACGAGTTTTTTTGTGACTATTTGCCTCCATTGTACCTCCCAGAATCATCTTTCAGCACTTTCCTCTAGCATTCTCCTTTCCCTGCCTTTTGCTATGCCTGGAATATTCTCTATCCTACTTCTTCTCATGACTAATTCCTACTTACTAGCTAGGAACCACCTACTACCTCAGATCACTTCCTCCAGAATTATCTCTCTCACAACCACTCTAGGCTGGGTATCTATCCTTCCTGACTTGGCACTGAGTCAGCACTCAAATTCTATTTAATGAGTAAATCATTGTATGAACAAATGAGAATATGATTGTATTGAGTAGCTAAAATGTGAACTGGATAATAAAAGAGTAATGGAGAGCCCATGTTTTTATAGGAGACATTAAGTTTTACTAAGAAAAAACAGCAGGACTCAGACTGAACCCTCTAATTTGCCTCCTTTTAAAATAGCCTCCTAAGCCTTCTTGTTTTCAGAATTATTTCACAGAGTTTTATTCATGAACATTGATGCTATTGCAGCCAAAGTTCCTTGACTTCTCTGAAAATGCTTTTTATCTGGAACCAAAAAGCATCCAGGTAAATCCAAATCTCCAGAAGCTTCACCCAAATGTGCTTCTAGAGTGGAGCTGAGATCTGAGGCAAAATCACGGTCATCTTTGTACTAAGAGCCAACTGGGGCCCAAAGGTTTCTTTCCCAACATCCAACCACCCTGATCAAGTGAGAAGGGAGTGGCCATGAGAACAGGGATGAGTGCCTCCTCCCCTCGACCCACACACTCTCAGAACATTGCACAGCCTTTGGACATAGGGGCAATAGCTCTTTTAAAGCACAAAGTTTCAGGCTACCTTAGATTTGTCTATTAATATATTCTAGGCCAACTGTGAAGCCTTCTGCAAGCCACAAAATCCTCCCACTGTCAATATTTCCATACATAAAATAAAGGAGGCTGCTACCATACCTACCTCATTATATTGTTGAATGGTTTATAAAGATGCTCAGTGGGATTTCTTTAGTACAGTACTCCTACCACAAAATAAGTGCCCATTAACCAACAGCTAATATTTTTATTTAAATAATTTCAAATTTCTTTTGGAAGGAAGAAAATAAAGCAATAAAAGATAAAACCACTCTAATCATTTTTTATTTTTGCATAAGAAAATTATTATTTGTGTGTGTTTCTAGACTCAAATTGCCACCTTTTATAGAGACACCAGTAATCAGATTAGGGGCTCACTCCTCATATCAATGAATTATATCTGCTATAACCCTATTTCCAAATAGGGTCACATTTCCCATTAATCAGAATTAGTGACATTTTGCCATCAAATTTATATTTCCTGTTCAGAGTGGTGGCTATACGGCAGCATACTGATACCACTAGAAAAATAAATGCAATAATACTGTAATAATAGCCACTACCATTTATTAAGTACTAGCTTTGTGTCAGGAACCGAACACAGTTCGGACTGAAATAGAAATTTTTATCTTCACGTGAACTTTATATATAAACAGACTCCTGAGCCCCAGAGCAAGAGATGGGCTATACTAGCCTCTTTACTTCCTGCTCACACTAGTGAAGGAGGTGGCTTCCCTTTTGGTCCCTCACCTTTCCTGCCCATTCCCCTGCCCCAGTACTGCCTCCTCAAACTTCTCCTTAGCTCCTATTTTATTTCTCCTTTGCTTCTGCAAGAAGGAGCCAAGCCCTGCTGCTTACTTTAGGACAGCCCCTCCATCTTCTCAACGATATAGAACATTGACCAGACCTGTAAGAGTATTTATTTATTGTATTCAACACAGAGTAGGCTCTTCATAAAAATTTGCTATTTTGAATTGCCTTAATCAAATTGTTCCCATAGATAATTGGTTCCAGCTTCAACTTAAAGAGTTAGCTATAATAATAAGACACAACAAGTCTTTAAAAATTAGAAACAATAAGATCCTTTGAAATCTTGATCTGAAAGTGCACAGGATCATTTAATCCAGTTCATTTATTGTATAGATTTTTAATAAAAGAATGCCATTGAAGTTACATAAATGGCTTAATATTTAACAAATAGTTATTACCAAACCCACCAAAGGAAAATCTATTCACAAATATCTGTGAACTAATGAATGATTACTCATTAGACAATGTGATAAATTCTGTTCTGCATGGTGAAGTAATAGGCCACTTCCCATCTCTATCCCTGACCTAATATAATAATTCTTCATTAAACTGTTTTTCTAATAGGAAGCACTTTAATTTAAAATGTTGTTAGATTTCAAGGCCTATGGATGGGGCTTGTGAAATGCCAACATCAGACCAATTTCAGAACTCTCCAAATAACACTGAGAGTACAAGTCAATCTTGAGCAACCAAGGATCTTAAAAAAGAAGGAGTTATGCTGTGTTGTTACAATGAGTTTTAAAATGGCCCTAAAATTTGAAGGCGTTGCTTATAATCCCCAATATGTTTGTTGTAGTTAATGAGCCAAAATCTAATGAAATGCCTATGAATTATATTGGTATCCAAATTCCCAGTGAAATCTGAAATTTTCTTCAATTTCCCGAAAATGTTTGTTCCTCTTTTGTCCATTCCTCCAGGACACAGTTCAGTCAGCAGTAAAGCCGTGAACACAGAAAATACATAAATATTTTGGAAAACAAATGTGAACTGAGTTTCAGCAACAAGTTGTCTAATGCTGTCTCCCACCCGCAGGAGTGAGTGGGACAAAGAAACCACTTAGCAAAGAACTAAGATGTTTCACATGCTAATTAAGGGCTCTGTTAGTGGCTTGACATTCAGTGATGAGATGCATATTTAAACCCCTTTGGTTTCTGCTTCTAACTGTGACAAGATTAGATAAACATCTTACTTAAATGTTAATAAGAAATTATTTTAGTTCAGAGCTTTAATGTTTCATGTGTACTGTGTATATGAAATTTGAACTTAATACATAATTGACAGGTTGCTCCTCCACTCCAAGAAGTAGATTAAAACTTAAGAAAAAATTACCTTAGTAAAATTTTTGATCTTGGCTTTAAGCAGATTTAGCTCATTTTATTATTACTAAGTAGACTTTCATTTTTGCAAAAATGTAGGTAAACAGAATTATTAGGGTCTAAGCTGGATGATCCAAATACTTTTTTAAAAAGTATGACTGTAACAAAAACTACAAATGATTTGACCTGATTTAATGAAAGCATAAAAAGTTATTAAAGCTAGCAAATAACAAAAGTAAACATTAGCAAATATACAATAACTACTATGAAGTAATTAAGTGTAGGCATAGTGTTCTTCTATTAGATGTCTGAAAATTACCTACATCAGAATCACCTGTTTTGATTTTCTCAACTATAAATACCTGACCCCCACCTTCCATGTCTTACATCTCTGACTTTGTAATCTGCATTTTTAATAAATTCTCCTCAAATTAAAAACCACTGTTTTTTTATAACCACTTTAACAAAGGGACATAAATCATCATTTCCCTATTTACCCACGTACATTCAATCTTTTCCTGTCCTTTCCTTTCCTTTCTTTCTCTCTCTCTTTTTTTTTTTTTTTGCCTTGCTCTGTTGCCCAGGCCAGAGTGCCATGGCACCCTCTTGGCTCACTGCAACCTCTGCCTCCTGGGTTCAAGTGATTCTCCTGCCTCGGCTTCCCGAGTAGCCGGGATTAAAGGCATGCACCACCACACTTGGCTAATTTTTGTATTTTTAGTAGAGACAGGATTTCACCATGTTGTCCAGGCTGGTCTCAAATTCCTGACCTCAAGTGATCCACCCACCTTGGCCTCCCAGCATGCTGGGATTACACGCATGAGCCACTGCACCCAGCCAGTACATTCAATCTTAATGTCCAGTAAAAGATTTTACTTTTAAAGGAGAAAATTTATTTTATCCTATTGCTCTACAATACCTTCCTGTACAAAGTAAAGGAAAAACTAGTTTAAATAAGAAGGACATTTTAATATGTATTGTTGTACTTTCTAATGCATCAACTTGTTCATTTATTTACAAATATAGAATGGGGAAAGCAGAGAGGAAAAGAATGGGAGGCAGAAATACTTTTATTCAGATCTTTACCTATACCAAAGTTATTTGGCTCATAGAAGAGAGTCTGTAGATGATATCTTTGGAAGGGTATGTTCTATCACATAGGAAGAATGAGATGGATGGAATAAATGTTCTAAATATTTTGGAGCAATTGCAAACTACTTATCCTAATACTTAATATGATCAATGTTTATTACAAAAGAATGTGAAGTCATTAGTGGAATAAGTGGAAAAGTGCAATGGGTAGAACCCTGTTTCCCCTCTGGAATCCTACAGAACTCAAATACAGTACAGCAGTTCCTCAAATAATGTTGTCTCATTCAAGGTTGTTTTGATATAATAATGATGAGGAAAAAAATTGATTCCTAGCAGGAGCCACTGTCTGTGTGGAGTTTGCACATTCTCCTTACGTCTTCATGGGTTTTCTCTGAATACACCAGTTTCCTTCCACATTCCAAAGATGTGCCTGTTAGGTTCACTGACATGTCTATGTGGTCCCAGTCTGACTGAGTGTGTATGTGTATGTGAGTGCACCCTGTGATGGGATGGCATTCTGTCCAGGGTTTGTTCCTGCTTTGGCCCTGAGCTACCAGAGCCTCACGACCCTGAGCTGGAGTAAGCAGGTTGGAAAATGAATGAAGGAAGAAATGAATACAAATTATTGTCAAATCAAAATTCATTAAGACTTGATAATCATGCAAATGTGCAACAATAAATGATAAGGTATGAAAGTGCTCAGCTCACCCACTGAAGTAGTGAAGGACTTGCCATCCCAAAATATGCTGAATTGGTATATTGATTATTCTGATTTGAAAACATTGGAGAAATTATAGTTTCAGAAAGGGGAGGTAACCTGTCTCTTCCTGCATGTAGCAAGCCATAAAGAATCCTCTGGGAGAGATGCCCTTCCCCACCAGGGTGTAAAAATAGCCCTTACCAGGGTGTGAAAATAGCCCTACTAGAAACTGGGAATTGGAAGATGCAGTAGACCTGAATAAATATACTTAATAAAGTAACACTTACCTTCCACTACACCCCTCCCTCATGTATCTCCTAGTGATTTCCCTAAAAATGTACTGCTTCTAGACAGATCTCTTTTTTCCCTGTCATTTCTTCTCAAATTTATTGTTCTTTGTCTAAAAAGGATAAAAGCATCATCCTTTGGCCATCTTTGGACTTCACTCGTGAAGATCCCCATATACATGTAAAACTGATAAAATTTGTATGTTTTCCTCTTGTTAATCTGCCTGGTGTCAATTTGGTTTCTTGATTCAGCCAAACAGCCCACATAAGAGATAAAGAGAGGTGATCTCTGGGTCTCCTACAGCAGTATTTGTTCTTGTTTGCTTTTGAACTGCATAGTGGGAGGAGAATTTCCCTGCAATTTTCATTTTGCAAACATTTATTCTTTGATTTAACCCACCACCACTACGACCACCATCACTCACTGATTCACCAAAAGCTGGCAGCAAGTTAAATAATGATTGTGTTTGTTTTTATTAACCTTTCTTAAATGCATAGTGAAATGTATACTGAAACAGGCCCAATTGTCTCATAGAACGAATATTTATGGGTTTCTAAAAATAAACATAGAAACTGACCCTCCCTGACCCTAAAACATGAAACTTACATTTGTCTCACCTGAGTTTCTTCCTCAAAACTCACTCTCAGGCAAGAAATTGAAACTTATCAGATTACATTCAGTGAGCCACCAGACCCCTCATACATCAGGACTGCTTTCTTATCCCTCCTTAATTCTTGTTTTCCCACTTCCCCACTATATAAACCCCCCAAGTTGAGCTGGTTTGGGAGATGAATTTGAGACGTTATCTCCCTTTCTCCTCAGCTACGGCACCTGATTAAAGCCTTCCCTGGCAGTACTTGTCTCCGTAACTGTCATTCTGTGTGGTGAGCCTGATATTCTGATAACAATAACTCACGTCTATTTCAATATTTAATATTAGACGTGCTTTGGATCTTTATTTAGATATTTGGTGGTGTTTTTGTGACCAGGAATATGCCATAAGAAGTTAAATGTTGTTTATATCAATGAACCTATGGTAACATTGCTTTCATCATACATTATTTCATTTAAAGTCACATTTTCCAGGAACCTATGGATGATGTTAAGTGAGAACTTACTGTATTACAAAGTTTGTGCCTCGTAGGCTTCAGTGCCAAGTGACAATCTATTTCTTATATCCATTAAATACACAAGTACATTAGGCAAAATTAGGTGATCTTATAACAAACTGTTTTATTAAGTTTCACCAATAAATTAAATATTGAAGGATAACTGTTCTTCAAACACAATCTTAATTTAATAATTTACTATTTACTAATTTGGAAAGTGATACATAGCAAGGAGTTGCTGGCCTAAATGGATGATTCTTAATTCTTCACATTACCATAACTACAAATTATTGTGATTGATCATCATGGGAAGGCTTTTATGATAGGAAAGTCTTTATGTAGAGAAATTTGCTTCTCACGGAGGCTCTTTTTGTTGGGGGCTGGGGATGGGAATACATTAAGAATTTTAAGAAATAGAAAGAAAAAAGTCTATTGTTATGACATTGCTTGCCAAGATATCCTAATGGTGAAAAAAATTAGTCCTGTGAAATATCTGGCAGGCAGGGCAAACAGCAAAAACTCAGAATTCAAAATCAGTAATGACTACCTCCGCATGAATAGAGCTTTCTAAAAGACTGTTATTTTTCTGTGCAACTAGGAAAAAAATTGAGTTTCAATGAGTTATGCTCTGGTGTTCTGGTGTCTCAGCACAATTTTGCTAATAGTGCAAAACCTGATTTTTTCACTTTAACACTTTCTACTGTGGCATAATCCACTGGGCATTTGGAATCATCTTAATTGATTTTAGTAATTTCAGAGTTAACCTCTCAATTGTGGAGAAACCAGACATTAATGTATGTACAAAATTTTGCACCCCACTCTGAGGCCAGTCAGCTCATGACAAATGGGCATAGAAATCATATTTCTATAGGAAATTCACTTTGCTTCCATGGGACTTTATTTCAGCATCCAAAGTTGAATTCCTATCATTTAAAAATAAATAAATAAAGCACACATCATTTAATGTAGAGCAAGACTAGAAATGAAATGGTTCCAAAGACATCCAAAAGCTCAGTAACTCTATTCCTATTCAATCATTTCAGGATCTACATAGTGATACATGAAAAACATGAAGTGGTTTAACACTGAAAAACGTATCATACAAATAGCATAATAGATTACTTTATTAAGCAACCCTACACATTTGGTGTTAGATCAAAGATTATTATATCACTGCATTATATCAATTGTTTTATAAAATTAAACAAAAAGTAAAAGTTTATCTTCTGGAAGTTGATTAAAATTTTAAATGAGATTTAAGCCTTTTTTCAGAAAACTGAAGAAAAACACAAACTGGATATCTGATTTATTATAAATTCAAACTGGTCTACATTAAATAACCATATGAATAAACACTGTCAAATATAATCACTCTCAACCTTTTATCTTCTACTTTTGTGCAATTATTTTTCTCATGGTAATCTTTTGTTGAATGAGACTCAAATTGGGTCTTAAGATGAAACTCAGCAAAAAAAGACAGCCCACCGAAGCAAAAATGTAATCAAGTCTAATGAGAACCTGCAATTCACTGGCCTTTCTCCTCTTCAATTCTACCACTCTATTAGTTTTAGAATTGCCACATCCAAAAGGAGAGTTTGGGCAAATCTGCAGTGTTCTCCTGTGTGTCCAGCAAAATGTGACTGGACTGACATAAAGTCCTTATCCTACTCAATATGAACATTCTAAAATTTCCCTGAAATATTGATAAGTTTGATTGTGGGTTATTGCTCTAGACCCAGATAATGATGCTACAGAATATATTGTATAAGTACCATGACATCCCTATAATCCATTCACAGAAAGAGCTGCAGTCTCCTGTAAATAGACTGATCAGAGAAGGGCTCTCTGAAATAACATTTAAGGTGCGAGCTGAAATGAGAAGAAATTAAAACCCTTCTTTGCATACAATCAACAGAGGCACAAGCATTCCAAATAGAGAGGACAATAATGTATAGGGACAAAGATGGGAAGAAATTTGAAATGTGGAAGGACACAAAGAAGACCATGGGACATAGTGAGCATGGTGGTGGGGGGCAGGTAAGAGAAGAGTTCAGGAAGAGAGGCAGGGACAGTCCTGCACCCCTGAAATCCAAGATGAAAACTGTAGATTTTTATGCTAAGTGCACTGAAAAGTATTTGGAGGTATTTAAGCGGTGGGAGAATATGAGTTGATTTACAATTTTAAGAGATAACTTTGGCGATTTGTAGTGAATAGGCTGTAAGGCGGCAGAAGTAGACAGAGGCAGGCAAGTTTAGAGGCTTTTTCTCTAGGAAAGAAAGGATGGTACAGTAATTGTATCAGGACTGTAGTAAGGATGCAAGTTAATGACTTAAAAGTGCAATCAACAAAACTTCATGGATTACACAGGAGAAGGCAGGTGGTGAGGGATAGAGATGAATGGACGAATGCTTGGGGAGGAATCATGAATTCTACTTTGGCTATTAAAAGTTTGATTTGTCTCTATCAAAATAGACATGTCAGGCTAGGAAGGGTGGCTCATGCCTGTAATCCCAGCACTTTGGGAGGCCGAGGTGGGAGGATCACTTGAACCTTGGAGTTTGGGACCAGGCTGGGCAACATAGCGAGACTTAGTCCCGACAAAAATTTTAAAAAATTAGCCCAGCGTGGTGGCACATGGCTATAGTCGCAGCTACTTGGGAGGCTGAGGCAGGAGTATCACTTGAGCCTGGAAGGTCAAGGCTGCAGTGAGCCGTGATGCCACACTCAAGAGCCTGGGTGACAAAGTGAGATCCTGTTTTAAAAAAAGAGAGAGAGAGCAATCAGTAGGCATTTTAATACACAAATATGGAGCCAAAGAGAGATCAGGAAGGAAAGACAGATTTGGCAGTCATAAGCTTATGGATGGTGGGTGAAGCTGTAGCAGTGTGTGGAATTCACAAGATGCCTCAGGGAAGGAATATAAACACAGAAATGAGGTTGTCTGGGATCAAGTCCTGACAGGCTTTAAAATTTATAAGTCAAACAAAAGTTAATGAGAAAGAGTAGCCAATAAGATATGAGGAAAAAAAAATAGAGAATAGTGTTGTGGAAACAAAGAGAAAAAGTATTGCAAAATGGTCAACTCTGGTGCTGCTTAAATTATCCAGTAATGAGGACAGTAAGGTGCTTAAAGGTTTTAACAACATTTACTATCATCTTAGACTTGGTGGAAGATTCATGAAAAGGAGAAAATACAGTTCATTTTCACAATTATAGGCTGCATCACTTTAATTGGTGAGTAGTATAAAATTCACAGCAAACTCCTAGGACACTTGCTCTGTCTGCTCCTAACTCTTCTCCGCCTAATGAATCCCCACACTCCTCCTGTCACCCTCAGCTTAAGCAGCCTCTAAGAAGCCCATCCTGACCAGCCAGAGGCCATTAGGTCCTCTGTTAAATGGAGATTGTACCAAAGAAAGGGCCATTAGGTCCCCTTCTTTGGAGATTGTACCTCTCCATCCTATCATTTAATTTGTCGTTTCAATTAGCTGTCTTTTCCTTTTAGGTTTAAATTTAGTGTGGAGGGGGTGCGGGGAGTGGGGACAGCTACATCTCTGCATCCACTATCTCCAATACTAGAAGGATGATAGGTGTTCAACAAATGTCTATAGAAAGAATAAATCTTTCTTTTAATACATAAACACTCTGCTGTGGCTGAAGGTGGGTAGAACTTGTAAAACTCAGACTGAAATAATTTTGGCATCATTGACTGGCTTTATGCTGAAACAACTTTATATTTAGATTTAACATAATCCCTGTATCTAAACTATATGCAATATAATTTGAAAGTTGCTAACATCTCCTACATAAAAATATTTACCAAAGTTATCTTGATATAGGGCTAAGCATTTCTCTAATATTAACTCCTTTCGCTTTAAAATTCTTCAACTTTTACAAATATTCCTTCAGAGAGGTCATATATTTAGTCACCCCAACCATGCTCACCTTAGTTGAAATTCATCAGAATGGTTCACAGGTATCTAGCAGTCATGTGACAACATGACATGGGATGATAAGTTTTAAAATAAGGAGTTAAGTATTCTGGCTACTAGGCCCTCCCCTTCCTGAATCCGTGGCTTTAGAGTCCTGGGATATAATAAAAGATAGCATTAACAAAGGCCATTTTTCATCCTACACATTGAATCAAACAATGTATCAGAGACAGAAAAAAACTGTCTTAAATAGTTGAAAGCTCCAAACTTTACAACTTCTCCCATCTACTATGGACATAGAGCTGCACTAGTAAGTGGCACAGTCAGGATTCAAAACAAAGAATGACTGACATGAAAGGACATGCTCACTCCACTATTACAGGCTCCTTCCAACTTCTAGGAATCTACTCAGATAACTGACTATTGAGAAAACATTTATCTCTCGCTTTAAATCTATACCCCAGCTCAGTATCTCAGTATTAGTAAATTTAAAGCCCATATACAATGTAGCCAAAGGTCAATATTCTTATGATCTTAAATATTCAAACCAAACTTTGCACTGCCAAATGCCTCACCATTAACACACCATTCTGGACCTGGTCAGAAATTCACATATATATAATGCCCACTATTTGTCAGACACTCAGTTCTTACAGATATATTATTGCATTTATCCAACATAGCAAGCCAGAGAAGGTATCTTATCACTCTCCTTCTCTTTAGTGAGAATACTAAGGTTCAAAGAGAAATTATTTAGGTAAGGTTGAACATCTGGAAGGTAACTAACAGATTTTTTCTTCATGTAAGTAAAGCAATTCATGCAATTATTCCTAGTCATAGGCATTCTGATTCTAAACCTAAATTCAACAATTTTTAAAATGGGTTGGACTTCAATAGTTATATTTTTCCAGAATGATCTATTTAAATTGTCAAAGAAGTCAATACCTGCTCCCTGTGTCCACTCTCAGCTTGCATTTAGAAGTTCCAAGATCAATATTTCTTTAAGCATCAAAATGGCCCAGAGCCAACTGGTGAGACAACAATCTTTCTTTTCCAGATTCAGCTCATCAGCATTAAGCTATGCCAACAGAGCACAAATGTACCCTGGATGCAAAGCAAAACATTCAATCCAAAACCACAGGGTTTTCATCAACATGATACCAAGTAACCAGTGCAATTGTCTCCACACCAGCCTGCTAGTCCCCCATGGAATTTTCTAGCTGCTATGACTTAAGTAAATGCAGCCTTGTGAGCTTGGACATTCAGGTGCAAACAAGCTCTGTAAATCATAAAACATGTTGCCAGCCCTCTGTAGAATAAATGGCATACTAACAAATACCAAGAGAAATTATGATGTTCCCTTCCCCTCGTGTCACTTGTCGAATGAGCCACATTACTCCTTCTAACCTCCATTCTTGTCTGCCTATCTTTCTATGTAAATCTTCTCTCTCCTGCAAGATATGAGTTTCCCAGAGTCAGCAGGGAAGATAGTTTTGTTCTAGATCACTGACCTTTTCATCAGCCTCGAGCCAGTGATAGCAGAGTCAGTATATTGCTGATCCATTTAAAGCCTGAACTTAGACAATTTTTAAAACTCAGGGAAGCAAACCAGCCCCTGGCTCTCTTTACTTTTAATCCTTTCCATCTTTTAAATTTTAAAGACTTTTATGAAATTTATACTCTTCTATTTGTATAATTTAACTAGCATAGGTATTTCTTTTATGACTATGTCTTATCATTTCTCATGAGAGTCACATTTCATATCCACAGAAACTCAACATGAAGTGGCTTCCCCAGGTTCTCTCAGCTTGTAGGTGGCAATGTCAGGGCCTGCGCTAAATCTTCCATCATCAAATCTTTTGCTTTTCCTTCTGAGGCGCAGAGGCTCAGAGACTCCCAGCCTCACTGTGTTCACACTTTGGGAGGAAAGGAAAAGACCTCTGGACTCAGGAGATCTCACTTAGCTATTCTCTGACTCCCCGTCTATTCCACCAAAAATGAGAATGGCCAGAGGATGTTCCCCTGGAGCATGTCAGTGTCCTTCAACTTTCCTCCCTGTTTCCTGTCTTGTCACTGCAGTTCACTCTTCAAGGAGTGGCCAGGACAATATTTTTAAAACATAAATACCCTTTGCTCTCCTACTCACACCTTCCAGTACTTTCACTTTGTACCTCCAATTAAACAATGAAAAGGTTTTTATTACAATTTGCAAGACCCCACATGATTTAGGCTATGTTGCCTCTTTGATTTTTATCTCAAACCACTACCTATCAGTCCCTGTATGACAGCCACACTGGCCTTTTTCACTTTCCTCAAACAAACCAAGTTCAGTTTTGCTTCATGGCATTTCCTCTTGCTGCTCCCTCTGCCTGGAATGTTCTCCCCAGTTCCTGGCTTGCCCTTGGCATTATCCAGGTCTCAGTTTGAAAGTTACTTCCACAGAGAGGCCTTCCCTCTTCCCTTTTTCCAAAAGAGCTCTACCTGCGCCCTTTACCACCACATTGACCCATCACCTGGCTTCTTTATCTTCATAGTACTTATCTGCACCCAAGATTATTCTGTTTGTTTTCTTGCTTTTCATTGATTTTTCCTCTGCTCAGTCTTCACTCCTTAACCATGCTCCATGAAAGCAGATGGTAGCTGTCTTATTGACTACTCCATCTCTACTCCCCAATATGTCCCTAAAACCTAATAACAGTATCTGGCATATAGTAGAGGCTCAAAAACTCTTCTTTAAATGATAAATAAATAAGTCACCTGTAAAAAGTCATATAAATAAAATATAGCATCATTATAAGTTCAGAGCTCCAATTTGTGACTGTTTTCCTTAATGTGGCCAATGCTTATTTTTTCATTCTTTAAAAAAGTATTATTGTCAAGCAAATTGAAAAGGAAAAGATGACATTGTGGAAAAAAAAACTCTTTTTGGATATTAAAGCACCATCCAAGTTCAAATAAACCATCTATGGAAAACCAAGCCTTGACACTGAAGCAAATGTATAAGGACGCATCTTGGTCCCAGTGCTTAGTAAACAGAATTTTGTATTGAGTTTAAGGCAATGAAACAGTGTTTTCTTTTTCTTCTTATTCCTATAAGTCAGACTTGATTAATTTAGAGCACCAATAGGTACACAGAAATTCCCTACCACAACATCTCCATCTTCTCCTTTGCTTTCTTTTTCCCAAACTTTCCATGATTCTGAATAACTTACTCCCTTGCCCCAGTCAACAGAAAAAGAGGACTTAGCTCTAGAAAGGGAAAGGTTTCCTTTCCTTCTGGAAGTGTAAAAGAAACCACTCACATTGATGTACTGAGCCACTCAAGATGATTCTGATTCAAAAGATGTTTTCTCTGTTTTAATATCCACATAGATTTGCAGTCAGGGACAGCCAACTAGTTTTCAATGATTCCCTATATTCATTGACACTTAATTTTATAATCACAATTAGGTTGTAAGCATTTTTGAGCAAGGACTATTATATGCCCCAAAGCACAGGACTTAGTGGGTATCTAATAAATACCTATTAATTAATTCCCATCAATTAATATAAATTAAGAATATTTTATTGTATTCATTTCCTTTGAAATCTCTCAGGTCTCTTATGACTATTTCATTAGGTCTACAAAGAGAAAATGAAGTACTTGCCATAAAATACTAAAGTTCAGGAAAGTTTTCTTAAATTGAATACCAACTGCTCCATATATAGCCTTTAAAATCGAATATTAATTGATGTAAGTGTGCTGACACACATTTTAATGTTTTTATTTTCAAGTTCGTTTAACACATGTTCATCTCACTTTATTTTTTGGAAAATATATTTTCTTCATGCCTGAGTTAATCTGTTCACAATTTTAATATTTAGACTCACTTAATATTTTTTGATAAGGAGTTTCTGCCTTCACACCAAATAAGCAGCTCAGAGAGTAACTCTGTCAGAAAGAAAAGGTGTAAGAATAAAGCAATGGGTTAAAGAAAAGGAAGAAACTTTCATTGACACTACTTAGAAAATATGATGATTTGTGTTATCATGCTTTAAAAAGTAATTCCTTGGGGCTCTCCTTAATCAAATCATAGAAGTTTAAGCGATGATAACAAGAGATTATTTCAGCCATCCTCTGACTTCCCAGTACTAGTCACTGAGAAATGTGATTTATTTATTCCTTTTCATCTCCACCTACCAACTTCCCTGAGGAATTTCCCCAGGTAAGGAATTTTTTCTCACTTTAAAAACATTCCCTCTCTCACCTTACTTTGCATACTTAGGACAATTTTTGAGGAGATCATTCCTTTTAGCTTGAAAAAATGCTTTTGACCCCAAATGCTTTGCTTTCCTAGCATTGCCTTTGAGCTAAGAAATAGCAAGAAGCTAAAAAAATAGATCCCTTTAACAGTAGAAGGCAGAAATTCTTCATCATGCTTCACTGTTTTCATATCTACTTGTATTTCTACTGACAGACTGAGCTTTGAAATTAACAATAACTATAGACAGAAACCTTCAAAGCTGGCTTGGGGAAATTAAATCAAATATTATTTCAATACCAGGTTGGTCTTTTAAAAATAAAATATTTTAATTAACTTGAATTCAAAACATGCTCTTCAATGATGTTTTCTTTTTGAACATTGGTAGAAAAAAATATTTTTTCTCAACTAGGTGGCATATCCAACTATATTCAGAGAATAATTACCCATTATCTTTCAATAGTATCTTTTTTTATTTTCAACATTAAATAAAGTATTCCTTTGATATTTATCCTGAAGGACAACACATAAAGTTGCCCATGTGAGAAGCATCTCAATTGCAAATCATAATCATAACTTAATTAGCAATTTATGCCCTTGTGACTCTTGATTTGGGGCTTCGTACAAAGCCCATGTTCATTTTCACTGCCCAGGGTGTCTTATTAGGATAGACAGAATGCATTTCTCTTGCAGACTTCTAGCTGTCTCAGTTTCAGCTACTCCAGAGGATATCTGTTTAACTCCTTGACATATGTCCAAGGTCCTCTCAAGAATTTGGAGTGCTCCCTAGAATACATGTCAGAAGGTCTTAAACCATATTTGTTTTGTCTGGAAGCACAGAAAAAGAGATACTTAAACTTTGTTTTATTAAAATACGTCTCATACCAGTGTGTTAAACTGCTACCATTTGTTCACAACTTTTTCATTAATTGATTTTCTCATACTTTCAGATGTACCACAGGTATGATAAGCAACCAATTCATACCCTATCTTTTAGGTCATGAGAAAGAGGAATCACTGTTTAATTTGAGATTGCTAGAATTTAGACTTAGCAATGATGAAAAAAAGTGAGCGTCCAGCACATAAGTAAAACATGGTGGGCTATTAGGAATACCAAGACTTCAATCCCATCTTGTAGAGAGGCACAAAAGAATTTGTGTTAGAACAGGTGCATATACAGGCATGAAATTTGTCTCTGGGAAGTGCAATGATGATACTCTATTCCATTCAATAAGTACTTTGCTTTCATTTTCAGCAGATGTTTTGATTACTTCTTTCAAACTATAAATCTGCTTTATGTAGAGGACATTAATAGCTAATTAATTCATTACCAATAAGTTACCATTCCCTTTTCTGGGTTCAGGCTTTGTGACTGGTAAGCTACCTAGTATCAGGTTCTTCATTATGTCATGGAATCTTTGGAGTGTTGCTTTGCCATCCAGAAACCTCTGTAGCTGGTGGTGCCTTCTTCCTGAGTATTGCTTGCGCCCGCTGGGCTCATTCCACGCACTCGGCCTGGCAGACTGTGCTTGGCTTGCAATACCAGCCCAGATCCCACACCTGCCAAGGACGAGCCAGGCGCAGAGTGGTGAGGGATGTGCGAGCAAGCAAGCGCGGGGTCCAGCCACCGCGCACAGCCAGGTATGCCGGCTGCTGCGGAGGGGTGGGCAGCTCCAGACGCCCGCACAGATGCTGGTTATATGCGAGGCTGTGGCTGGACCAGATGTACCACACACGGCTTCCCCTGTGGGCACCCATGTCTGAAGGAGGAGAATGTGGTGGCTCCTGGAAGCTTGGAGACACCAGGAACTGCTGAGCCCCAAAGAGGCTGTCACAGCCCTGGCTTGGGGAGCCTCTAGGTCTGGGCTTCCCAAAGGGCCACAGCTGTTCTCTCCTTCTCATGGACGCAGTGTGGCAATTGGAGGGTGTGTGAGTCTGTGGGGGCATGTTTCAGCCCTGTTTGTGTTACAGCTCTTTCAGTCCTGCCATTCAGCGGGTCCCAAGTTCTTGTCCTGCGTCCAGGGAGAATGAGGTGTGTGGACAACTGGAGGGTGAGCAAGGCAGAAAGGAGGTTCCCTGAGCAACAAAACAGCTCTCAGGAGACCTGAAGTGGGTGGCTCCTTTCCACAGGCAGATCATCCGGACCAGTGTCCAGCTCGGGCTCTGTCGGAACCCAGCACTACTGAGACTGCAGGGTCCTGGGGGTGCTTCCGAAATCCCGGAGAGTGCAGGGATACTTGGGTCCATAGCTGAGGCTGGGTGGCTGCAGCAGCACCAGGGAGGACGGGGCTCCCTCCCCTCTAACTTAGAAGAGGGCGGGGCTTCCACCTGTTCCCGTCTCCCATGGGCACTGTGGAGGTCGCAGCCCTGACCACGCTCCCCTGCTGCAGCTGGCATCTTTGCCGCAGCACTGCCGATGGGCTGCCACTGCCACCAATTATAATTACATAAAGAATTAGTTCAGAAGCTTCTAGTGAAGAAGACAGGTTGGTTCGATCCCCAGTTCCCTGGTTCCAAACATTTTATAAATTATATGTGCAATTTAAAAATAAACCTTTCAAATTCATGTCAAGCTCAGAAGCAAGAAAGAGAACTTTTTGTGTGGCAGAAAACTGAGAACCACAACACTGAGAATCAGGTGAAGTTGCAGAAGTCCTTGGAGATACCTGAAACTAGTACAGATGTGAGGGAGTATGATTTTAGCACTCAATCTTCAACTAGTTTTGTGGCCATTCTTGGGGGAGAGCTGGAGTTACCCTTTCTGCAAAAAACCAAAAGCCAAAAATAGGGGATGATCCTGTCTAAATCAGAAACTTCAAACAAACAAACAAACAAACAAACAAACAAACAGAAACCTCTCCCCACTTGCTCCAGGGCTTACCTTGGAAATTGACTCCCCTCGCCTGTAGTCCCAGCTACCCGAGAGGCTGAGGCAGGAGAATGGTGTGAACCTGGGAGGCGGAGCTTGCAGTGAGCCGAGATCGCGCCACTGCACTCCAGCCTGGGCGACACAGCGAGACTCCATCTCAAAAAAAAAAAAAAAAAAAAAAAAAGAAAAGAAAATTGACTCCCCTCTTGAGCTTCAGGTAAATAACAGTGATTATTATGCATGCAGAACCCCAAGCCTGCCCTGTTTTTAAGTGTGAGACCCACATTCTGTGTATTCAAGTGGTATGAAAATCCAAGAGGAGAAGCTGGTATAAAAAATGTCAGTATTGGCTGGGCGCAGTGGCTCAAGCCTGTACTCCCAGCACTTTGGGAGGCTGAGGCGAGCGGATCACGAGGTCAGGAGATCGAGACCATCCTGGCTAACACGGTGAAACCCCGTCTCTACTAAAAATACAGAACAAGTTAGCTGGGCGTAGTGGCGGTGCCTGTAGTCCCAGCTACTCCGGAGGCTGAGGCAGGAGAATGGCGTGAACCCAGGAGGCGGAACCTGCAATGAGCGGAGATCGCGCCACTGCCTGGGTGACACAGCGAGACTCCGTCTCAAAATAATAATGATAATAATAAGTCAGTATTGAAATCCTGTCCAAAGGGGGTGGTGAAAGAAGACAACTCCCACTGAAGGTGGGCATAAAACAGACAGCACTGGAAGAAACCTACCAGTGTGAGAACTGACTGGGCAATGCAACCTAGGAGAGACTTCACACCCAAAGAAATATCAATAATACTAAACATGCCGAACATGTCTGAAGAGAGAGGAAGGGACAAAAGATAGGCAGAATGTTATGAAAAAAGGACAAGTAAACTTCGAAAAGAACGAAGGGAACTTCTAGAGATGAAAAACTGTTCATAAAATCGTCAAACAGTAAGTGAGACAATTCAAAAGAGATAATCTGTTATTTGAAAGACAGATGAGAAAATTACCTCCAGTGCAGCACAGAGAAACGGAGAAGCAATAAACTGAAATAGACTGGGGGGATTTAAGATCAAATATAGTGTGAAGACAAAAAGCTAGATCAAAATCAATCACGTGGGAAAAAGACAATGAAGTTAACCTGTTAATACAAACAATCCGTTGAGGCTGCTCACTGAGGGCTCCACTTGTAGTTGAACTTGGTGGTCTCTAAAGCTGGTCACATTATTCAAACTCCAAGATCCCTCCCTGCATTGTCACTTAGCTCCTCCTGTCTACTTGCTCCCACCTTGCTCTCTCTATTTAACATTTTAGGTTCCAAATCCATGAGTTTAATTTCTTTCTTTTAAAACACAGGTGCAAATTCACCTCCCTTTAATTTGTCTTAAAACAGACTTCCCCTGACAGTTTTAAGTGCATCCTAGAAAGCAGAACTTCAGGGCTGAATTAAATTAAATGCTTGCCCTGCAATTATAATTCTCATAATACTATGATTTTTTGATTTAAAGTTGGCAAATATCTATCTTCTGTAAAGAGACTTTTAATGTTTTCATTGTAATCTGAATCAGTTTCCAAATTTCTAACTATCCGATGCGTATATTTTTCTCTAGCTGGGGAGAATCAAAATGTCTACATATGCACTGTGCTTATTTCTCTCCAAAAAGTTTCTGCGTCTGAGACACAAAACATGGAACCACATGACCACACGAGGAAGGACCCAGGCCACAGGTGTGGAGGACAAATTGAAGGAAGCCAAGAGTCAGCATTTGGAGTTTGTCAGCTGGCTTGCCAGCAGGAGGCAAGGGGCCTACAAGGGGGATGCTGATATGCCAGGAAAATCTGCATTTGAACAAAGAGAGGTTTTGGATGCTTTATAGCAACTTTATATGATACTAGACTAGTAACAGAGCAAACATTGGTATTGGTCTTAATAAACGTTTGGGAAGAAAGGTCACCATCAAAAGTTATAAGGTGTTATGCTCTTGAAAAGAAGTTATTATGACTAATATTTACTTATTATTCTCCAAGTTCATTGAAGTCTTTACCCAAATGTTATCGCAGTAGAAACACCCTCACTGAAATGGCACTCAACTCTCATCTGCCTGTGTGTTCTTACTGTCTCTTCTTTTTCTTCATTGTCCTCATTATAACTTTCTGATGTATACATTTAACAATGGTTTATCCTCTGTCTTCCTCACTAGAATGTAAGCTGCATGAGCCCAGTGACGTCTGTGTTGTTTACTGTCGTCTCTAACACTTTGGAGACATGATGTGAGGTGAGTTAATATTTGTCAATTGTGAAACATTGACGAAGGGACAGATGAACCGAAGGTCTCTTATATGTTAGATATTTTACAGATCATCTTACTTATTGAAGCTAGATCTCTGAAATACAAATAAATGATGCTGGACTTAAGCTTTCTGTATATTACTTAATGGATTTTGGCTGATGAAGGAAGGTGCAGTGAGCATGTTTTTGGATTATTCAAGGTGGGCTCCTGTGTAGGAAACTGTTCTAAAAATGAAGCCAAAACTATTCCTATCTTTTGGGAATTCACAGTCTGTTTTCAAGAGGAAAGCAATGCTGACTAAATTTTATTTTAATATACCATAAAACCATTTTTTGGCTACAAAAGTACAGACTCTAATTTGTAAGGATTAACAGTCGAACTTTGATATCCCTATACCAAGAAATTATTTCTGGAAATGGCACCATGGTATGGTGGAGCAGGCATGAATATGGAATAAGGGGGTCTGCATGGACCTGAGTAAGTCCCCCACCTTATCCTAGCTGTGTGATCTTGGAGTCATTCACTTGATGCTTTTGAACCGCCATTTTTCCTCTGGAAAATGGCAATGAGAAGGTCTATTTACATGGATGCTGTAAGGACTAGTGAAATCTCACATGTGAAGGTGGTGTAATTACTAAAAATTGATCACATCAATGAAATTCATGCTTATCCATTTGTAGTCAAAGAATAATTGAATTAACTTATGGCAGAAAGTTAAGTGAATGTTGTCCAAAAGGAAGAAGGAAAACTTTGGACCAAGAAAAACAAAAATTACTTTTGAAACTTAACATCTTTTCCTTGCATTAAAAAAGAGCCAAACACCCACCCACACATTGTCACCAAAACAAGATTGCTTTTAGGCAGATAAAAAGCCTCTCTCTTCTTGGGTCTGAGTTCAACCATGGCCTCACCTGGGCCCTTCCAAATCGAGGATTCTCCTCCTTAGAAGCCTGTTTCAGAACAAAACAGAAGGCGTCTGTTCCTAGGCTTCAGAAACACCCAATTTTGAGGAAGCTCCTTTGAACAATATCAAGGCAGACATTAAATTAACATGAATAAAAAGAGGGGTTAGGAGCATGGTTTCTACAAAGCGAGCAGCTCCTTTCACAGGTTGTTGAGAAAACCTCTCCTGTAGGTCCAAGATACCACAATCAATGCTCCCTAAAGCTTAAGAAAGTGAGATACAGACAAGGCTAAATACAAGCATATCGCACTGAATATGGGGGAAAGGTGGATGCCCGGTGGCAGAGCTTTACGGGCTTTATGGGTGTGAACAGAGCGGTGGTCACATAGGGTCCTGTCCTTGGGAGGACCAATCTGGTTTAATGCTCTGCAGTCCCAGTATTAAAATTCTTTTTTTTGTTGTTTTTTTTTTGTTTTGTTTTTGTTTTTTGTTTTTGTTTTGCTTAGCACTTTCATTTTTCTCTAGGACCTGCAAATTATGTAGCCTAATGCCCACGGGAAGCTCAATGGAGCCTCTTGCCTCCACAAAAACCACTGATTGAAAGAAACGACAGCAACTAGGAGCTCCTGTGACTCTGTTTCCATTCCCATTCCCTGGGAAATGATCAACAGCTCCGGTGTGTTCTGTTCTCTGAACCAGCCACCCCACCCTCACTGCCAGCGCAAACCTGCTCTCCTGTGACCACCTATTCTCTGAATGTTTCTACATTTAGAGAAGTTCACCCTCAGAAGAAAGAAGGAAGCCGGGCGCGGTGGCTCACGCCTGTAATCCCAGCACTTTGGGAGGCCGAGGCGGGCGGATTGCCTGAGCTCAGGAGTTCGCGACCAGCCTGGGCAACACGGTGAAACCCCGTCTCTACTAAAATACAAAAAGTTAGCCGAGCGTGGTGGCGGGCGCCTGTAGTCCCAGCTACTCGGGAGGCTGAGGCAGGAGAATCGCTTGAACCCGGGAGGCGGAGGTTGCAGTGAGCCCAGATCGCGCCACTGCACTCCAGCCCGGGCCACAGAGCGAGACTCCGTCTCAAAAAAAAAAAAAAAAAAAAAGGAAAAAGAAAGAAAACAGCAGCATTTTGTAACAGTGATGAATTTGGATGAAATTTGCAAGACCTTGGACTGTTTTCCCAAATGTCCGGGCGTCTGCCAGGCAGCCCTCAACTGCAGACACAAGCCACTAAAGGGAGTCGTGGCTCCAGGGAGCTCGAATGCTTTCCCTGGAAGATCCCCTCCCTAAGCCCCCATCTCCTGGACGTGAAACCCTGTTTAGTCTACATTCAGGAACAGCAGACGTGCTTTTCTGAGAGAATCTAGCACCTTGAGAATTTTGCCATTTGGGATGCGTGTGTATGTGCGCGCGCGCACGTTTTCGAAGCTACAATTAGCACTCTTGAAAAAGGAGAAAGGGAGCGGGAAAAGGAAAGAAAGAAAAAAAGTAGGAACTCCTGTCGATTTTAGTTCAGGCTGCCTGAAGATTCAACTTAAAATAACTGCACCATCAATGCCCCATAGAAATCACAACGGAGGTAGAAGTTTGCGCGGTTCCACACTACCATCTAGGGGATAACAGGTGAAATGACAACCTTCTACTCCCATTTGTACTGACCTTTGTTATCTTGGACATAGGCATGTAGGTCACAGAACACATCCTACGCGCTCTTCTTCCATCGGGTGGTCTCAATATCTACCGTCACTGACGTACTAAGAGGAATGGGAAATCTTCGGAGGGTTTAGCATAGAATTATGTAATTCGGCATATTAAAAAGATGACTCTGTGTACTCTGTGGAAAGTAGCCTTACGGATGGAAGGTGGAAGCCACAGAGAAAGCAGGTAAGAAACCACAGCTATGCCTCGCTTGATGACGCATCCCCAGGAATTCGTCCGTAGGCGATTTTATCCTTGTGCAAACATTACAGAGTGTACTTACACAAACAAAGATGAAGGACCCTACTACATAACCTACGCTATATGGTATCGCCTATTGCTCCTAGGCTACAAACCTGTGCAGACTGTTACCAAATACTGGAGGGCAGCTATTTCCTTCCAAGAAAAGTGCTCCTCACTCCCAAGAGACTGGTTAATGTGTAGAACTTCAGGTATTCCTGAATCATATATATATTTATATTTATATTTATATTTATTTACATATATTTTGAGATGGAGTCTCACTGTGTTGCCCAGGCTGGAGTGCAGTGGCACTATCTCAGCTCACTGCAACCTCTGCCTCTTGGGTTCAAGCGATTCTCCTGCCTTAGCCAGGCCCCCTTCACAATGCCCAGCTAATTTTTGTGTTTTTAGTAGAGATGGGGATTTGCCATGTTGGCCAGGCTGGTCTCGAACTCTTGGCTTCCCAAAGTGCTTGGATTACAGGCGTGAGCCACCACACCTGGCCCTGAATCATATGTTAAACTTATTTAAGTTTAGCTCAAAGCACCTTCCATATTTGGTTAATAAAATTTGGGCCAAAGTTTCTCTCTATGTAGTGAACTGCAGCACAGCTTGGCGTGAAAGCAAGTTCTAACCTAACCTAAGAGTATGCCTTTGTAACCAAGCAATGGAGTCTCAATCCATAGTAGCCAATCCCAGGTTGAACGTTGCCAAATTCCTCACAAATAAGGCAAATGCAGAATTGCAACAATCAGGTAATCTCTGTAATAAGTAATTTCCTGTCTCTTTCTTTTTATAAATACAGCTCACCATTCTGAACCATCTTCCATCTGAAGTGCTGCCTGTTTTAGAGCCTTTTCATTGCTCAAATAAACTCTGTTAAATTTAACTTGCTTTAAGTTTTTCTTTAACACATGTCTCTTCCCAGACTTCCTGATAAACCTCCCATTTTAGTTCACTGGTTCTTGGAAGTTTATAGCAATTCAGTGTTTTAATCTTAAAGGTTTGGCACCAGTTAAAATACAAATGTCTCTGAACCTAAAGTATATTATATTGGAAAATATAATTAAAAACAAAATCTCATCCCAACCCAAAAAACTTCTTCACAAACTTAGAAGAGGAAGAAAACAATTTTGTTATTGAATAAGCATTAAACCAGAATGTGATGCGTATCACAAATAGTCTGCTAAGAATTTGCAAAGACAGAATGAAATCTTACGCTTTGATATAGCCAAGCCGATAAACCCATTCTACACGTGCCCTCAAGGTAAAAAATAACTAGTCCTCAAGTAAGAGGACTTGACGGCACCATTTTTCACACATAGTTCATCTTAAAATCCCCTGGTAATTGTGGTATCTACCTGTGTTAATTAATTGATTTGTACAAAAGAAAAAATAAGCTTCTCATATCTTTATGGAAGAAGATAGTTTTGTAACTTGAATTAAGGTGCTCACCAAAGTTGGGTTCCTACCCTCCCACGGAAACTGGGAGATATGGTGCTACCTACCTTCATTGATTACATTTGAAAGACACGGTTCCTAGGTCCTTGAGAAAGACTATTTTGCCAAGTGGCTTATTTTGCTTTTAAAAAGATTTACATACATTTCAAAAAGAGAAAGAACTTATACATACAGTATAAGTTTTCTAAAGTAAGTGGTCTAGGAAAAGGGAGGGAAGTCTCTTTATTTTCAACAGGGAGAATTAAGAATCTTACTTATAATTTGTATTTGCCCTTGCAACACATAGTCAGTTACACTTTAGCATTATAGAAATTTACAAGCAGTTTTCTGAGGGCGAGATCTCACTGAGAAAAAGAAAGGACTGTGAGAGTACCAAGGGGCTTCCTTGAGTACAAAAGGGCTTCGCTAAAGCTGATAAGCAATTAGAGAGGAAATAGGGGTCAGTGGCTGAACATAACTTCTCTTCTGTTCCATTGTTTTGCCTTGTTTTGTTAATTTATTTCTGGACTCATTTAAACTCCTTCCAACTCTAACCATCTCTATCTTTCCTCTAGTTCTGAATACTTAAGCCTCTTCCTCAAAAACAAACAAATTGTATTAACACATCTAAAAAGCTGCTCTGACTCAGTTTGCCCAGTGAGATCAGTTTGTAAGTGGTCAAAGACAAAACAACCCAAGGACACTACAAATCAAAGTAAGCATGACAATTTTTAGCACCTTCTCCTCAGTCTTTCTGAGGACTGTCCCATGACACGTTAGAAGAAATTTTTGGCTCAAAAAAGATGCCCTCGCATGCACATGCCATTACCTCACCAGGATGCCTTGGAATTAATTATATCTAGACAATTAGGTCTCTGAGATTTGCTGAAGGCCAGAATTGTTCATTTTACATTTTAAGATTCTCTACCACCAGGGAATTTGAAGTTGCCTTCCAGGGCCCACATCCAATGAATCTAATTGATTTCCAAAGTCCCCTTTATAGTCAAACACTGCCTGTACCCATTTGTTCATTCATTCAACGCTTCCTCAGCGCAAAGTATGAGCCAGGAAATGTCTTCCACCCTAGCGACAAGGAAATGGAGACATAGCCCCTGCCTTCTAGGAACTCAGACTGTTCTCATACCCAAAAACCCAAAGATGAACAGGGCTAAATGTGATCAGTTATGGGAATAATGCCAACTACTACAGGCGTGGTACAGGCAGAATTTTACAAAGGCAGGATGAACTGAAGTGGGGGACATGTGAAGAGTCCAAATTGTGAATGCTTTCTCCCAGGCCAAGGCATTTAAAGGGGAATAAAAATCAAAGTGAGGATTCATGAAGCGTTTCCAAAAGAGAAACCCAAGATTGGGAGATGTCTTTCTTCTACTGAAAACTTTCTTGAGTCTCAAGTGCACAGGGTTCGAAATTCAGCACAGCCACCTGTTAGCTGAGTGACCTTCAGAGAGTGGCTTAGCCTCTCTTGACCACGGTATCTTCATGCGTCGAGTGGGGGAGATAATAATATTCATCTCAGAGGGCAGTTGTAGGCACTGAGTAAGGTTCTGTCAGTTTGGAATTTAGCAGAGTTCTTGCTACACAGCAAAGACAGCTGTCATTATTCACATTATGATTACTATTATTTTCACTGGTAATGATACTAATGAGACAAAATTTTTCCTTAAGGAAAATTATCTTCTATTTGTATTCAAAAGATAATTCAAAATTGTAAGTGGGGGATTTAAGTAAATATATTTCACCATATGGGATATCTCTGAAAGATATCTAAGAGATGGAACCATGGTTATCTCTGGGAAGCCAAATGGGAGGCAAGAGGTAGAGATGAAAAAAGATGTACTTCTCATTGTATATATTTTATTTTTATGTGAGTTTTTACCATATGACTATCTTACCTGTTCAAGAAAAAGACAGAAAGAGCAATTTGTTAGCAATATAGGAAAAAATTATAGATGATAGCCAGATCTCTTCATGAGAGTGAAGATAACAATTATAATGATAAGAGTTTATATTTATTGAGAACTTCTTGTATGCCTGGCATGTTAAAAAAAAAACTATTTACATGTATTAACTTGTTCATTCCTCACATACAATGAGAGATGGTCAGTTTCTGCAAATTAAAGATGAGACTCGAGGAGGCTTAAAAACATACCCAAGATTACTTACCCGGCTGGTAAGTAGCAGAGCTGGAATTTGGGCCAGACAGTCTGGCCCTGTGTGGCTACACACACACACACACACACACACACACACACACACACACACACGTCTCTGTATGATCACAGTTGGATGTGCCTGCAGCAATGTGCCAGACAGACACTAAGTTGATGCTCTGTTCCCATGCTTCACTGGCCCAGCTCCATGGCCACATTTAGCAACCTATTGATATCCATGGCTTTTATATGGATTCCACAGATAGAAGTCATTTTACAGAAGAAAGAAGAATACCATTTAAAGAATTAAAAAATACATCCCTGGTGGCTGAACATGCTGGAACTAAAAACAATATTAAATGTTGAGATCCAAAAGGAACTAAAGAATTGGTGAGTCTTTTTCCTGGCTCTTCCAAGAATCTGCACATTTTTTTGAGATCTGTCTGCTTTGCACCTGCCAAATGAATTATTAAATTTATGAGGGTGAAGCTAAGCCAGAGCTACTGATCAGTGAAATTGTTTGCAACTGGGTAGAAGAGCTGCACTGCTGAGAACTCCAGAAAATGGCAACATCACTCAAAGCCTGCAGGATCCTGCTGTGAAAATATTACAAAGTTGCATGCACTTGAATGCCTGGATGCCAGAGGCTCAGGGAAGAGGTTATTTTATGAGCCTTGTGAAACTTCTGTATGATGCTGGGCCAATTGCTCCCCAAACTAATAAGATCAGAGTTTAGAAGTAGTCTGGCTCAACTCTGAGACTGGCATTTATTTATCAAGATATTAAAGCAAAATCTACTTTTTAGAAAACACCATGTTAAAATAGGTTTTATTTACCATTTAAGAGGCAATCTTCCCGTCTTAAGTTTAACTTAAATTTAAATTTATGACTCTTGAGTAGTTCACAGCTTACATGAGTCATTTTCATATTTTTCTATTTGTTGTCAGTGAATTCCAAGGCTAATAGGATAGTGGAACCAAAATGTACTTATAACAGATATGTAAGTGCTTGCAGAAAAATGGGCTTTGCAGAAGCCTGGAGAGCTGAAGACAAACACATTATTCACAGATACCTAGACATTGACTCTGCTTTCTCTCCCTGAGCTATAAGAATGTGATCACATTGATGTCCTGTTCAAGCACCAGGAATGTTATAAATAGTCTTCTAAACTAAACCACATGGATTGTCAGGAGTAGCTCTTTGAAATAGAGATAAAAACTCTAAGGATAAATGAGCAATGGTGTGATAGTAATTGAGTGTGTCCATCTGGCTAGCTCTACCTGCAGGGTGTTATCATCAGTGTTCAAACATGCCAGTGGTTTACCAGTTCATTGGCCTGGGACAAGTATGTCCCAAGTGAGACCCCGTGATAGACCAGCATCTCTTTGCTTCTGCTTCACTGACCACTCTGGAATCCATGCCCAGCCCTCCCAAGGTACATAACCATGCAGATATGCACACATGTACACATCAAAAAAAAATTTTTTTTAAACAATCCCTAAACAATTCATTAATAAAATAATACCTCTGTTGAGTTAGCTAGTCATAATTTACAATTAAGGGCATAATTCCTAAATTTATGAGGAAGGGAGACTTTTCTTAATTTTAGTTAAGTCCATGCCATTCCATTTCCATTATGAATATATTATCAACCTTCCTAAAAAAGGAAAGGTGGTCTGTAATTTGCTTTCCCTTAAGAATTTCAATAAGGGCTAACATTTTTCTGTTATGCTTGGAAGTTTTCGACTCATTCCTTCCCAAATTCGGCTATTTGATGTGAAACCTCCACAGTGCCAAGTGAAGTCTGGGATGTGTTTTTAGAAACAGAAACTTCTATTACCAAGGTCATCTTTGAGATTAGTATTCTAGAGTCACCAGTGTGTATAAATGGTTGGAATCTGCTCTCATTGATAAAACAACAGTAACCTGATAAATCACATAATTCCACCAGATCAGTGAAAGTAGAGTCTGGTTTTCAGACCATAATATCTGAAAATTGGTTTTGATCTGTAGAGCCCTGGCTTAACTTAAATTTAATTTTTTCCATAAAAAATTCCATTTACTTCCTCCTAAAAGAATATAAAATTCATTAGGTTAAGAAGGCTTTATGCCATTTATAGGAGTACAAATGTGAATGTAACCATGAAACAATGAGCACAATGGAATTGCTAAAATCATAGCTGACAAACAAAATTCTAGAAAGGGCGCCATTGCCTTAATTAGTTGATATTAATTTACAACTTCCAGTGAAACAAGCAGAGTTGACAACTACCTGCAACCCCTCTCTGGATTGACCTCCACTGAACTTTGCTCCCTAAATAAAATTAGGCTCTTAAAAATTTTAAATATATAATTCAAAGGAGTACATTAAAATTTTGATAGTATGATGAAAACACTACTGACTGAATTCTCATAAATAAATAAACATGACAGCTTAAGCCTACTACTCTGACTTCTAAGTTGGGCTCCAGCTGTTTCATTGGCCAAAACTCACAAGGATTAATTGGGCAGTATTCACTCACAGAATGAGAATTGTAACACATAAAAATAAAGTAGCCTCCTTGAAGAACTGCTCTGCATCCATAAACCAATTAATATATCTGATTGTAATTAAAATAATAATAATAATAACTTGTTATATATAGCTGAATTGAATCAGGGCCCCATCACGGGTATTAAATAGAGCACAGATAGCCTTTGGTATAAAGGAGCAGTTCAATTCTTAAAATATTTACAGGCACAAAAAACGTCTTTGGAAGATGTGCCAACTCATGCATTGCTGTGGGGCACTACGCAGACACTGAATAAAGAACGTGCCAAATAAAGAAGGGGAAGGTGCTTGTTACCACAGAAGCTACTTAAAGATATGGCCTGTGGCCCAGCCAAATAATTAATCTGCTGTGTGCTTTTAGTGCACTGCAGAGTGTGGGAGCTCTATGGATAAACCTCTTCCTATTTACTCCAGTTCTTGCAGATTTCCCTTAGAATTTGTCCCCATTATTGTATAAAGTCTCTAAGGAAAAGGTGGAAAAACACATGCCACAAGACTATTCTGGTTTGTATACTTTTTTAAAAAGTTGTTTATTGTTTAACTAAACATTTGATTTTGAATATCTTTAGGTGGAGCCAAACTTTCCGCAGTCACCATAGAATTCTCCCCATGCTCCTCCATTCTCTACCGTTTATGCTCATATTGTCTATGTTGATGTTACCTGCCTGGCCCCAGAAGTTTACGACTTACTCTAAAGGCAGAGATTATGCCTTCATCTATTTTATCTTTAATCAACAAAATCACTAACTGCCAGGCACTGGGCTGTTTCTTGGGGCAAAATGAGTTTTTTGTAATGTCTGTGCCCTCACTGGAGGTCATAGTCAATTAGAAAGACAAACATTATAACTGGAATTATACTTTTTTGAGTCACAGTTAGAAGAGTACATAAAGCACCTAAGAAAGACAGAGAGGGCTAAAGACATCAGCAGGTAAGAAAGAGGTGGTCAGGGAAGGCTTCTAAGATGATCTCCTGAATTCATTTAGAAAATAAATGCCTAGGCAACCACAGGAGAAGCAGGTGTTCCTGCTGGAACATCATTTTTAAAACCACAGAGGCATGAAATGCAAAGTGAGTTAACACAGGTAGCAGGTCAAGTGTGAGAGAATGACAGGCACTAAATCCCACAGCTCTATCATAAAGTAGAATGGGTAACCTTGGACAATTTGCTCAACCTCATGTGTGAAATGCAGATAATAATTTTTTCATGGTGCTCTAGTGAGAACTTAATCTGATAATATTTGTTAAAGTTCTCAACATAGCACCTAGCACATGGGATGCATTCAAATGTTCATTTGACCTAATTCACATGACAGCACCTTGGCATTCAGGTCCCTTTTGATGGATTTTCTGTGGATCTCCATTAGAGCGTTGCTACAGTGACCAGGAGTCCAAGCAATGATAGTGAGGGTACTGTGGTTTTGCACTTGTGAAAAATAATATCTTCAACCTGCTTTCTAGATGATGCAGGCATATCACATTTTTGTTCATTAGAACACATGGTAGCTAATCTTCAAAAATAGCCCTAATGAGCCCTACCTCCTGGTATTCATGCTGTTGTGAAAGTCTCTCTCCCAAAAATTTGGCTCTGGGGTACTTTTCCAAGGGTATGCAGCAGAAGTGGCATTCTGCCAGTTTTGGAGCTAAGACTTAAGAAGTCCATGTAGCTTTTATGCTCTTATGAGCCTTGAACTAGCATGTAATAAGCCAGGCTACTCTGCTGGAGAGACCACATGGAGAAACAACAGACAGAGGCTATGTAGAGAGAGAGAGGCCCTGAAATTTCATGGAGAGAGTGCCTCAGCCATCCTAACACCCCAGCTGAGCCTAGACTTCCAGCCATCTCCACCAAGGCACTAGAAATGTAAGTGAGGCAATATTGCACTTTCCAACCAATGCAGCCTCATACGAACCTCAAAGAAATTAATAGAAACATTATTCAGCTGAACTCTTATAAACCCATTGATGTATAAGTAATAACAATATTGTTATTATGTCATTTTGCTTTGGAGTAATTTATTCCACAGTAATAGTTAACGGAGATAAATAGAGCAAGACACAGGTTTGGCCCTTGCCAGAAGACTGAGAACATAGAAGTACCTATGCCTTTAGGTAAATACGAGCTAATCTTTTTTTTCCCTTTCTCTATATTTAAGTAATCTATCCAGTGCTGACTTAAATATCATTTGTGACAAAGTACTTTAGTTTATCTTCAATGGTAAGAAAGACCCCAAATTTTAGTTAGTATATGGATTTCCTGAATAAAGAGTGCACTTCTGTTGCATTTAGGTGTGTCCAAATAACTAAGTTCTGCCCAGTGGGCTGTAATCAGAAATGTCACATGCGGCTTTTAGATAGAGTTCTTAACAGGAGGGAACACATTCTCTTCGTTCTTTTCTCTGCCTGCTGGCATGAATGGAGACAGAATAGCTGGAGGTCAGGCAGCCACATTTTACCATAAGATCAAAGTCACATACTGATAGCAGAGCAATAAGGTAGAAAAAGTCTAGTTCCCTGATGATTGTGGAGTTATACTTGTGAACTGCTCACCTTCAGACTTTTTACATGAAAGAGATATAAATTCCTAGTTCATTTAAAACAATGGGAAGCCGAGGTGGGAGTATCACTTGAGGCCAAGAATTTGAGACCAGCCTGGGCAACATGGCAAAACCCCATCTCTACTAAAAGTACAAAAATTAGCCAGGCATGGTGGTACATGCCTGTAATCCCAGATACTCAGGTGGCTGAGGCATGAGAATCGCTTGAACCCAGGAGGCCGAGGTTACAGTGAGCCTAGATGGTGCCACTGCACTCCAGCCTGAATGACAGAGTGAGAATCTGTCTCAAAAAAAAACAAATGTAGTTTTGGTATTCTGGCATTTGCAACCAAATCCAGTCCTGACAGATACATCATTTTAAAGCCGACAATCCCCAAATTTATAACTCCTGTCCCAACCTCTCCCTTGAACTCAACTTCTTGTACCCATCTGCCTGTTTTTATCACCATTTAGATATCTAACAGGCATCTCAAATTTAATGCGTCTAAAATCGCACCCTTAATTTCACTTACATCCAAAAAGCTTCTTGCACTTTCTTACCCATTGCAGTAAGTGAGAACTCCACTGTCAGTTATGCAAGCCAAAAACCTCAGAGTCACATTCACTCCTCTTTTTCTGTCATACCTCATCTAGTCCTCAGCAAATCCTGTTGGCTCTACCATCAAAAGCTGACAATGTTTTTACCACCTCCGCTACTACTAACCGTATCCTAGCCACCTTTCTCCTCAGTGAGATATTTGCAACAGCCCCCACTCTTATTTCCTCCCAGTGTTCAGTGTGATCTTTTAAAAATATGTCAGATTATGTCACTATTTCTTCCAATCTCTTTCAATAGCTTCTTAGCTCAGACGTAATCCCACATTTTTACTTTGCCTACAAGTCTCTACATGATCTTGCCTATCCCCTGCACTATCTCTCTGACCTTATCTCCTGCCTCTGTGACTTTCATTATTGTGCCCCAGCCACTCTGGCCTCTTCTTTATCCATATATGATCCAAAGGGTTTTTAATCTATTGTGGCCTCAGCCTGGAACATTCTTTTCCCCAGACATATTCATGGCTTGCTCCCCGCTGCCTTAGATTCTCTGATGAAAGAGAAGCCTTCTCTATCCTTCCTATATGAAATAGCCATCCGCTACTTCTCAAGAGAACTTTCTCTTTCCACTCTATGCAAAATAGACACTTCATAAGCAGCTTAATTGTTTCTTATGGCATGAATTAATACCTGACATATTACATAGTCACTGCTTTATTTTCAGTCCCCTCCCACTAGATTGTAAAATCTACTAGATTGCTGGATCTTTGTATGTTTTATTCGTTCTTGAATCCCCAGAACCTCTAACAGTACCAGGGACATAATGAGTGTTCCATCAGTATTTGTGGAGTGGATGAATAAAGTGTGCACAATAGACTTGTATACAGAATTTTAAATAAGAAAAGAAGGACTCCAAAGTGAAGAGAAAAATCTTAGGGGACTTCAACTAAATTGTATTATCTGGTCTCTGAGTTCTAAGATCCCCTTGTGGGCAAAGGCCAGAGTGTCGGCCTGTTTCAAAGAGGAAGAAATTGAGAAAAGCCAAAATCAAAACCAGAACTAACTTAATGGTAAACTAAAACGAAGCCAAAAGATGTGTTCTAAGTGTTTTCAAATTTAAAAGAATTTAAAAAATCATGCTTCCAATTGAAGCAAGGGTGGAGTCAAGTTCAAACTATATAATGATATTTGAAGATTGCTATTAGATGTTTGATTAAGTGGCACACAGAATAGCCAACCTTAAAAATTAGGCATGGAGTGATTAAGTAAAATTATGGGCCAGGCCTTGTTCAACAAGATTGAAGTTAAACCTTCAAGATGTGAAACACTTATTTTCAAACATGCATGGTAGCTCCCTGCTGGCTTGAGGCATTAAGGAATGTGAGCAAAGTCAGCAGTTGGGGAAAAAGATAACTACGTCTTGTTTGTATGCCCGCTTTTATTTTACAACAAAACCCAAAACATTTCATTTGATTTAAAAACTGTTTTTCAGTATTAAATCTATTACTTGGCAACTGTGACAAAATCACCGTGGAGTTTCTTTGCAATACTACGATCTAGCCACCACTAAAACAATCTGAGGCAGTAAGTTTGAGGTAGAGCACAGGCGTAGGCATTTTGTTTATGTACTTATTTTTCATTCTACAGATATCACAGATGCTCCATCAAGGTTGAAACTGTGGGAGCTCAGAAACCATTATCCCAAAATCTAGCACTTTGACATGAGAACTGAAGAAGAAGGTTTTAGGTCTCTGACCTTGCCCTGCTCCTCCTGTCTATCAATCCTTTGTCATTTCCAAAGCACAGAATATAAGTTGTTCTCTGAAGTTTCTTCATCTGCCCAAATTTCAGACATGCCAAAGAAGAAAACAGTTACCTTGGGCTCCTTTTCTAAGCTTTTATTAACTGAACTCATCTTGCAGAAAGAAAGACTGAAATCTGTCAACACACTTGGACAGACTTTTGTCACAAATCACTGTCTGCTCTAAGGGCCCAACAGACTTTGTCCCAGGCCATTGTATGTTATTGAAGCCCATTGAATTCTCCTAAAGATAATTTATTATGCTCCGTCAAATCATCCATACTTCTCCATCTCCTTTTCCCCTAAGGAAAAGGATATATAATTATCTGTAATCCATTGGGATATATACTCTGTGCTCCTCCCCTGTGCATGCTAATAATTTTGTATGCCATTTCTGTCTTTTGTGAGTCGATGTTTGAGCAAACCTTCAGAGGGCAAAGGGGAAGTTTTCCCTTGGCCTCTAAAAAACCAATGACTTCATCTATGTGACGGCTCTGAACACTGTGAAAATTCAGAAGTAAACAATGTATGGTTCCTGCCACCAAAGAACATACAAATTACATTTTGGTTATCTCAGAACAGTAGGGTTATAATGATGTTTATTTGTCTTCAGTTTGTCTTTCTGTGTTTTCTAAGTTTTCGGTAAAAGATATAAATTAGTTTGTGATAAAATGAAACAAAAGTTATTTTTTAAAGTTCAAGAACCTAAAATCGTTTTGTCTTTCCCTATGTGTTTTGTATATAAATCAGAAAATGTATCCTGCTATACCAGTGACTAAACTTCAGGTAGGTATTATTGTATATGGTTGCTGTCAGTAATGGTGTGCTTTAAGAATCCATGGAAATCTCGAAGAAGTAAAGCTTAGTTTACAAAACCCCTGGAAAGTGTTAGGGGACTAAATGGGGGCACTTCTCTTTGCAATCACTGAGAAAGGAGATCGTAACAAAAACAAAAATCCTTTTATGCTGGTTCACAGTTGTTTTCATATACAGAAGTTGTATTAACATGTAGGGCTGTTTTATGTAACATGAAAGTCCAGCTCCCCAATAACCGCCTTGTTTCCCCCTCCCACCATAGCTCCGCTTTGCTGGGCTCTTGCCAAGGTCTGCTGACAACTAGTCCCCTTCTCTCTGCCAGGGCAGCTGTCTACAAAATCTTCATATTGCCTGGTGAGTTCTCTGAACCTTAGTTTTCAAGCCCTGAAAGTAAAATTTCTTCAGACCTGGAGCCAGGAACTATATTTGCAAGTGACCTTCACTGCTATAATCCTCAGGGCTGCCTTTAGCCAAAGCACAACACAATCGTTTGCAGAATCTTTGCTGCTCCGTCAGTGCATCACCCAGCCCTACAGCCTTGCGACCTCCAGAGGACAGAGGAGAAATGGGCGCCTCCCAGCGTTGCGCAGCAGGAGTGGGCATGCTCACGCCAGCGCGTGGGTATACGGAGGGCTTTGCGCTGCTTTAGGAAACCCGGGTTCCGAGGCAGTTCCTGCAGCGGGACTGCTCCCTTGCCCGCTCACGAGGCCCTTGTCGGGCTGGGCTGATCCCTGGGTTCCCGAGATAGGATTTCCTCTACCTTTCCCTTTGATACCGATTCGTCGCTGTGGTTCATTTGGCTGGCTCCAATCTTGGCTCCATTTGAAGGCAGCTGCCCCGAGTGGGGTTGAGACACAGATTTCTTCACAGATACATTCACCACACCCAGTGCAGCTGCAGTAACCACTACTAATATGACCTTAGAGTTGTCAGCTCTCATTAAAGCCAAGCCGAGTGGGCTAAAGACAAAATGAAGGTTGTTGAAAAAAAGAAAACGTCTAATTATGATAAACTTTTGGATCCAGTGCCAACATTAACCCAAAATGGTGAAAAAACTTTAACAAAATATTTTTGACTTTGAGCAAAGTCTTAGCTAAATATTTTGAACTGTTTCATTATATTATGTAAAATACATTACATTCAGTTTATCATACAAAATAGAATGACATAATGACATAATAATGGCAGATCATTTTAATTTGTCCATTTGAAACGGCTTATTTTAAAAATTAAGTTTTGAAGCTCCAAGAGTATTTACAAATCCCCAAGGACTGCCTTTGGGGAGTATTTTCATAAAGTAGAAAGGTAATGCCCTCATTTTCGGACTTGAACTATAAAAATGGTGACAAATATATTCTTGTGAATAGAACTGTCCAGAGAGAGAGACTTGACTGACCTTATCTACAAGATACCTAAACAACCAGTTATTCCAGTCATCCTGGAAGTCGGGGGAGCAGAACGAAATATTTATGAAGGGTGGACTTTGGAACTGTTGTATAGCACTGGTTGATTATTTTTATTTCTCACCTAATGGCCTTAGTCTATGTACTTATCTGAAATGATCTTCAAACTCTCCAATCACACTTGCTCACCTTCTTTAATTCCCTTGCTTAAAAGCCTTCAAAACAAATTACAAAAGCAATAACTAACCCTAAGTGTGGGCCCACTGTAGATGAGGAACAATTTTTTTTTTCAGATAATGGCTCACTTACTTCTACAACTCAATGAAGCAGGTGGCATTCTCAGTTATATGTCAGAAAACCAAGGCAAAGAAAGAAGTTACTTACTCAAAGATCATATTGGGATTTAAACCCAAGTAATTCGCACCCATGTTCTTAACCATTCTATTATTATTGTCCATAATTCTT